>NC_000003.12:172493452-172644967 GCF_000001405.40 Homo sapiens
GCATGAAATGTTGTTGAATTTTGTCAAAGGCCTTTTCTGCATCTATTGAGATAATCATGTGGTTTTTGTCGTTGGTTCTGTTTATATGCTGGATTACATTTACTGATTTGGGTATGTTGAATCAGCCTTGCATCCCAGGGATGAAGCCCACTTGATCATGGTGGATGAGCTTTTTGATGTGTTGCTGGATTCAGTTTGTCAGTATTTTATTGAGGATTTTTGCATCAATGTTCATTAGAGATATTGGCCTAAAATTCTCTTTTTTTGTTGTGTCTCTGCGAGGTTTGGTATCAGGATGATGCTGGCCTCACAAAATGAGTTAGGGAAGATTCCCTCTTTTTCTATTGATTGGAATAGTGTCAGAAGGAATGGTACCAGCCCCGCCTTGTACCTCTGGTAGAATTTGGCTGTGAATCCGTCTGGTCCTGGACTTTTTTTGGTTGGTAAGCTATTAATTATTGCCTCAATTTCAGAGCCTGTTATTGGTCTATTCAGAGATTAAACTTCTTCCTGGTTTAGTCTTGGGAGGGTGTATGTATCCAGGAATTTATCCATTTCTTCTAGATTTTCTAGTTTATTTGCGTAGAGGTGTTCATAGTATTCTTTGATGGTAGTTTGTATTTCTGTGGGATTGGTGGTGATATCCCCTTTATCATTTTTTATTGCATCTATTTGATTCTTCTCTCTTTTCTTCTTTATTAGTCTTGCTAGCGGTCTATCAATTTTGTTGATCTTTTCGAAAAACCAGCTCCTGGATTCAATGATTTCTTGAAGGGTTTTTTGTGTCTCTATCTCCTTCAGTTCTGCTACGAGGCTCTCTGTTTGTCTGTTATTGGTGTATAAGAATGCTTGTGATTTTTGTACATTGATTTTGTATCCTGAGGCTTTGCTGAAGTTACTTATCAGCTTAAGGAGTTTTGGGGCTGAAAGGTTGGGGTTTTCTAAATATACAATCATGCCATCTGCAAACAGAGACAATTTGACTTCCTCTCTTCCTATTTGAATACCCTTTATTTATTTTTCTTGCCTGATTTCCCTGGCCAGAACTTCCAATACTATGTTGAATAGGAGTGGTGAGAGAGGGCATCCTTGTCTTGTGCTGGTTTTCAAAGGAATGCTTCCAGATTTTGCTCATTCAGTATGACATTGGCTATGGGTTTTTCACGAATAGATCTTATTATTTTGAGATGTGTTTCATCAATACCTGGTTTATTGAGAGTTTTTAACATGAAGGGATGTTGAATTGTATCAAAGGCCTTTTCTGCATCTATTGAGATAATCATGTGGTTTTTGTCATTGGTTCTGTTTATGTGATGGATTACGTTTATTGATTTGTGTATGTTGAACCAGCCTTGCATCCCAGGGAAGAAGCTGACTTGATCATAGTGGATAAGCTTTTTATATGCTGCTGGATTCAGTTTGCCAGTATTTTATTGAGGATTTTCACATCAGTGTTCATCAGGGATATTGGCCTGAAATTTTTTTTGTGTATCTCTGCCAGGTTTTGATAGCAGGATGATGCTGACCTCATAAAATGAGTTAGAGAGAAGTCCCTCTTTTTCTATTGTTTGGAAGAGTTTCAGAAGGAATGGTACCAGCTCCAATTTCTACCTCTGGTAGAATAAGGCAGGCCTGGTGGTAACAAAATCCCTCAGCATTTGCTTGTCTGTAAAGGATTTTATTTCTCCTTTGCTTATGAAGTTTAGTTTGGCTGGATATGAAATTCTGGGTTGAAAATTCTTTTCTTTAGTAATGTTGAATATTGGCCCCCACTCTCTTCTGGCTTGTAGAGTTTCTGCAGAGAGATCAGCTGTTAGTCTGATGGTCTTCCCTTTGTAGGTAACCTGACCTTTCTTTCTGGGTGCCTTTAACATGTTTTCCTTCGTTTCAACTTTGGAGAATCTGATGATTATGTGTCTTGGGTTGCTCTTCTCAAGGACTATCTTAGTGGTGTTCTCTGTATTTCCTGAATTTGAATGTTGGCCTGTTTGCTAGGTTGGGGAACTTCACCTGGATAATATCCTGAAGTGTGTTTTCCAACTTGGTTCCATTCTCTCCGTCACTTTCAGGTAAACCAATCAAATCATACGTTTGGTATTCTCACGTAGTCCCATATTTCTTGGAGGCTTTGTTTGTTCCTTTTCATTCTTTTTTTCTCTAACCTTGCCTTCATAGCTTATTTCAGTAAAGCAGTCTTCAGTCTCTGATATCCTCTCTTCTGCTTGATCCATTCAGCTATTGATACTTGTGTATGCTTCACGAAGTTCTCATGCTGTGTTTTTCAGCTCCATCAGGTCATTTATGTTCTTCTCTAAACTGCTTATTCTTGTTAGCAGTTCCTGTAACCTTTTATTAAGGCTCTTAGCTTCCTTGCATTGGGTTAGAACATGCTCCTTTAGCTCAGACAAGTTTGTTTTTACCCACCTTCTGAAGCCTATTTCTGTCAATTCATCAATCTCATTCTCCTTCCAGTCTTGTGCCCATGCTGGACAGGAGTTGTGATCATTTGGAGAAGAGGCATCCTGGTTTTTGGAATTTTCAGCATTTTTGCACTGGTTTTTCCTCATCTTCATGGATTTATCTACCTTTGATTTTTGAGGATGATAATCTTTGGGTGGGTTTTTTGTGTGGGTGTCTTTTTTGTTGATGTTGATGTTGTTGCTTTCTGTTTGTTAGTTTTTCTTCTAATAGCCAGGAACCTTTTTCTTCAGGTCTGCTGCAGTTTGCTGGGGGTCTACTCCAGACCCTGTTACACCTGGTATCACCAGTGGAGGCTGCAGAACAGCAAAGATTGCTGCCTGCTCCTTCCTCTGGAATCTTCATCCCAGGGGGGCACTGGCCTGATGCCAGCCAGAGCTGTCCTGTATGAGGTATGTGTCAACCCCTGTTGGGAAGTCTCTCCCAGTCAGGGGGCATGGGGGTCAGGGACCCACTTGAGGAGGCAGTTTGTCCCTTAGGAGAGCTGGTGCACTGTGCTGGGAGAATCCTCCTTGTCAGGATCAGCTGCTCTCTTCAGTGCCGGCAGGCAGGAAAGATTAAATTTGCTGAAGCTGTGCCCACAGCAGTCCTTTCCTCCAGGTGCTGTGTCCCAAGGAGATGGACATTTTTTCTGTAAGCTCCTTACTGGGGCTGCTGCCTTTCCTTCAGAGATGCCCTCCCCCGTTAAGAGGAATCTAGAGAAACAGTCTGGCCACAGCCTCTTTGCTGCCCTGTGGTGAATTCTGCTCAGTCCAAACCTCCCAGCCTCCTTAGCACTGTCAGGGGAAAACCGCCTACTAAAGCCTCAGTAATGGCAGACGCCCCTTCCCCCACTCCAAGCTTGATGGTCCCAGGTCAACTTCAGATTGCTGTGTTGGCAGTGAGAATTTCAAGCCGGTGGTTCTTAGCTTGCTGGCCTCTGTGGGAGTGGGACCCACTGAGCAAGACCACTGGGCTCCCTGGCTTCAGCCCCCTTTCCAGGGGAGTGAACAGTTCTGTCTCACTGGGGTTCCAGGTGCCACTGGGGTACAAAAAGAAGAAACTCCTGCAGCTAGCTTAGTGTCTGCCCAAACAGCCACGCCGTTTTGTGCTTGAAACCTAGGGCCCTTGTGGTGTTGGCACAAGAGGGAATCTCCTGATCTGTGGATTGCAAAAACCGCGGGAAAAGTGTAGTAACCTGGCTGGGTAGCACAGTCCCTCACGCTTCTCTTGGCTCAAGGAGGGAGGTCCCCCAGCTCCATGCACTTCCTAGGTGAAGCAACGCCACACCTTGCTTCTACTCACTCTCCATAGGTTGTACCCACTGCCTAACCAGTCCCAGTGAGATAAACTGGGTACCTCAATTTATGCAGAAATAACCTGCCTTCTGCATTGGTCTTGCTGGTAGGTGCAGACCAGAGCATTTCCTATTCAGCCATCTTGGCCCCTCACCAATGGATAAGATTTTCTTTTTAAAAGTTAAAATGTAACTTAAAACCCAAATCACAAAACAATTAATATAGTTAACAGTGACTTTCTATGTAATAGCATGTACATCTTGTACACTGGACCAAAAATTACACTTCTAATATAGCTAAACAAATAAGATGCAAAATAAATCGCTTGAAAAACTGTAGACAAAATGTACAAGCAAAACAAGGTGGCTTATATTTACTAAATGAAGTAGAAATTTAAGGTAGAAGAAAGTTGAGAAGAGACATAAGGAAGGGGGTTAAAGCTGTAGTGGTTTGTCATTGGTTGTGGCAGGTGATGGCACAGAGGAGTTAGGTGGTGGAGGGTCAATTTCAGGATCTGATAAGATTCTCCATCATGTTGATGTTGCTATATCCGTTTCTCAGGGAATGAGGTTTGATGCTTTTGGATGAAGAAAGTTGCTAAATAGAGCTTTGCTCTTTGCTGATGCTCCTCTTGTTTACTTTCATACACGTCTTTCTATGGTTCCAAAAAGACATTGGGCCATTTTTGAAAGAAAGGCTTTTATCATATTGCCACCATGGTCAAGGACATTATTTTTGCATCTGCATTGCCATAAATTCTTTGACGTCAGCTGCATTTGGTGGTTTGGTTAGCTACTCTTTGGGTTCTTTTTAATCAATAATCTCTTCTGCAAATTGACATTGCACATCCAGCTGCACAAATTTGGTAGTTCGTTATTTATTTATTTATTTATTTATTTTGAGACGGAGTCTCGTTCTGTCTCCCAGGCTGGAGTGCAGTGGTGTGACCTCAGCTCACTGCAAGCTCGGCCTCCCGGGTTCAAGCAATTCTCCTGTCTCAGCCTCCTGAGTAGCTGGGACTACAGGCGTGTGCCACCACACCTGGCTAATTTTTTGTATTTTTAGTAGAGATGGGGTTTCACCGTGTTAGCCAGGATGGTCTTGATCTCCTGACCTCATGATCTGCCTGCCTCAGCCTCCCAAAGTGCTGGGATTACAGGCGTGAGCCACTGCACACAGACAAAATTTGGTAGTTCTTTAGTCTGAGATTTCAAAACCTTCCAAGATATTTTTATCTGTTTCTGCAAAGAGAGCTTCCTTTGGAAGGGTGGATATATTTACTGTGGTGTCAAACATCTATTTATAAAAACTTTTGAGGTTAGTGGCCAGGAGCAGTGGCTCACTCCTTTAATCCCAGCACTTTGGGAGGCCAAGGTGGGCGGATCGCCTGAAGTCAAGAGTTCGAGACCAGCCTGACCAACATGGAGAAACCCCATCTCTACTAAAAATACAAAATTAGCTGGACGTGATGGCACATGCCTGTAATCCCAGCTACTTGGGAGGCTGAGGCAGGAGAATCACTTGAACCCAGTAGGCGGAGGTTGCGGTGAGCCAAGACTGTGCCATTGCTCTCCAGCCTGGGCAACAAGATTGAAACTCTGTCCCCCAAAAACAAACAAACAAACAAACAAACAAACAAACAAACCACCTTTTGAAGTTAGTTTTGTTTGTGAGCTTGGTTTCTTTCCGTTTGTGACCCTTTGCTGCCTCACTTAGTACTACTAACATCCAAGAAGCATATTACCTAAATTGTCTCTATTCACACTGTTCGAAATGTCTACATGTAGTTCTAACATGAATTTCAATGGTATGTGGGATGTAATTTGAGAATTTTCTCAGAATATGTTTTGTTTAAACTGCTGAACTGAGTTTTGTAGAGGCAAATTAACTTTTTCACTTCTAAACTTTGTTTGAAAAATGATTTTTTCTTGTTTTTCTTCTTTTACTTTTTATTTATTTATTTTTTGAGACAAGGTCTCACTCTGTCACCCAGGCTGGAGTGCAGTGGCGAGATCTTGGTTCACTGCAACCTCCACTTCCTGGGCTCAAGTGATCCTCCCATTTTGGTCTCCCAAGTAGCTGGGACTACAGGTGTGTGCCACCATGCCTAGCTAATTTTTGTATTTTTTGTAGAGATGGTGTTTTGCTGCCTCTGTCTCCCAAAGTGCTGGGATTACAGGTGTAAGCCTCTGGGCCCGTTCTATTTTTTTATTTTTTGTGGATACACGGTAGGTGTATACATTTATGCATACATTTATGGGGTACATGAGATATTTTGGTACAGGCATGCAATAGTCTAATAACTATATCAAGGAAAATTGGGCATTCATCACCGCAAGCATTCATCCTTTTTGTTACAAATAATCCAACTATCATCTTTTAGTTAGTTTAAAATATACAATTAAATTATTATTGACTATAGTCACCCTGCTGTGCTATCAAATATTAGGTCTTATTCATTCTTTCTAACTATTTTTTTTTACCATTAAGCATCCACACCTCATTCCCAACCCCCTACCCCCGCTGACCCCCACAGCCACTACACTCTTTCCAGCCTCTGGGTAACTGCCACTCTATCCTGTATCCTTGACATTGGTCTGAGCAAAAATTTCGTGGGTAATGCCCTAATAGCATAGGCAACAAAAGCAAAAATGGTCAAATGTGATCATATTAAGTTAAAAAGCTTCTGCACAACAAATGAAAAACCAACAAAGTGAAGAGACAACCCATATAATGGCAGAAAATATTTGCAAACTACCCATCTGAAATATGTTGTAGTAAGAGATACCCGTGTTCCACGAAGTGTTTGAATTAAAAACCAAAATGCTTTATATCAAGATAGGCTAACTGGAGAATGATTTTGTGGAATATGCATCAGTTATTCACAAATCAATGCTAATAAATGTTCAAACATTTGAATATTTTTTAGATAAATATGAAATAAAAAGAAATTAATCATATGAATATATGTGTAATCATTAAATAAACTGAGCCACTTATCAAAATTCTACTCTTCTGTAAAAGGGAAAACTCCCTGCCTTATTTTAGGAAGTTAGTATAACCTTGACACCAAAATGGCATATGAATACAATGAGGAAGAAAAATTTTAAAATAATCTTATTAACAAACATAAGTAAACTAAACATAAGTAAAATTCCTAAGTAAAATATTGGCAAACTAAATTCACTACTGTATATAATAAATAACATGATCCATTAGAGTTTGTCTCAAGATTATAAGAATAATTTACCATTATAAAAAAATCTATTAATCCAGTCTATCATTGTTGGACATTTGGGTTGGTTCCAAGTCTTTGCTATTGTGAATAATGCCACAATAAACATACGTGTGCATGTGTCTTTATAGAAGCATGATTTAGAGTCCTTTGGGTATATAGCCAGTAATGGGATGGCTGTGTCAAATGGATTAAGAAAATGTGGCACATATACACCATGGAATACTATGCAGCCATAAAAAACGATGAGTTCATGTCCTTTGTAGGGACATGGATGAAATTGGAAATCATCATTCTCAGTAAACTATCGCAAGAACAAAAAAACAAACACCACATATTCTCACTCATAGGTGGGAATTGAACAATGAGAACACATAGACACAGGAAGGGGAACATCACACTCTGGGGACTGTTGTGGGGTGGGAGGAGGGGGAGGGATAGCATTGGGAGATATACCTAATGCTAGATGACAAGTTAGTGGGTGCAGCGCACCAGCATGGCACATGTATACATATGTAACTAACCTGCACATTGTGCACATGTACCCTAAAACTCAAAGTATAATAATAATAAATAAATAAATTAAATAAATAAATAAATAAATAAATAAAAAATCTATTAATGCAGGCACCTATTAACAGGTAAATGGATCAAAAAATCATATAATTATTTCAATATATCTAGACAAAGCATTCAACAACCTATTCATATTGACACTCTTAGGAAGCTAGGGATAGAAAGTAATTTCTTTAACCTGATAAAGTGTTATCTACAGAAAACCTGCTTGCTCCTCAAAATTGTAAAGGCTTCAAAACAATGATCATCTGAGAAACTGCCACTGTCTGGAGGAGTCTAAAAAGAAAGGAAGTCTAAATGTAACATGGTATCCTGGATAGGATTTCAGAACAGAAAAAAATTAGGTAAAAATTAAGGAAATCTAAATAAAGTATGGACTTTCCTTAATAATTATGTATTAGTATTGTTTCATTAATTGTGACCAATGTATCATACTAACAAAAAAATTAACAATAGGGGAAACTGCATGTAGGATATACAGGAACTCTCTAGACTATCTCTTCACAACTTCTTTGTAAATCCAATCTAGATGAACCCTTGTCTCTTGTAAGTGTTTTACACTTAAACTCTATTTTTGTCTGAGATTAGTATGACCACTCTAGTTCCTTTTTGGTTACTATTTGCAATAATATCTTTTTCCATCTTTTCAATTCCAACCTATGTGTGTTCCTAGGTCTAACATGAGTCCCTGAGAGACAGCATGTAGTGGGATCATGGTTTTTTTAATTAATGTGTTTAGTCTTTTTACCTATCTATAGCATTTTATTGGGGAATTTGATCCATTTATATTTAAAGTAATTATGGACAGGGAAGGACTGACTTTTGCCATTTGTTATTTGTTTTCTGTGTCATATAGCTTCCTTTGTCCCTTTCCTCCATTACTACCTTCCCTTGTGTTTAGTTGACTTTTTATGGTGACACTTTTTTATTACCATCTCATTTCCTTTCATGTAGATTCTATAAATATTTTCTGTGTGATTACCATAAAGATTATATATAATATCCTAAAGTTATAAAATCTATTTTGAATTGATACCAACTTAACTTCAATTTCATAAAAAACATTTACTTCTTTAGAGCTCTATCCCTTCCTCCTAACTCCATATTATTGTCCCAAATTAGATCTTTATATATGCACCCACTAACATAGACTTGTAATTGTTTTATGCAGTTATGTTTTAGATATTGTAGAAAATACAGAGTTTATAAATAAAATTACAATAATTCTGATTTTTATATTTTATTATGTGTTTCCTTTTACTGAAGATCTTTGTATCTTCATAAAGCTTTGAATAAGAGAGTTTGGTAAGGTTTATGGGTACAGATCAATATAATAATAACGGTTAACAATTTTTTTTTTTTGAGATAGGGTCTCTCTCTGTAGCCCAGGTTGGAGTGCAGTGGTGTGATCACAGCTCACTGTAGCCTTGGTCTCCTGGGTTCAAGTGATTCTCCCACCTCAGCCTCCTGAGTCATGGGAACACAGGCCCATGCCACAAGGCCTGGATAATTTTTGTATTCTTTGTAGAGACGGGGTTTTGCCATGTTGCCCAGGCTAGTATCAAACTCCTGGGCTCAAGTGATCTGCCTGCATTGGCCTCCCAAAGTGCTGGGATGACAAGCATGAGCCACCATGCCTGGCCAATAGTTAAAAATTTTGTTTGCATTTATTATGTACCAGACATTGTGCTAAGTATGTTAAGTGTAAAATCTATTAATATTCACATCAATCATGTGAGAGGACTACAGTAACGACCCTGTTTTACAGAGTTGGAAACTGAGACCCAGAATTTACTAATCTGTTCAAGTAAGTGGTGGAACTAGGATTTGAATTCCATCAATCTGGATCCAGAGACAATGCTCTCAATCACTATGTTGCACTGTTTCTCAAAGTTAATACCTGCTCCCTGCATCAGCTACTTTAAAATGTCATTAAAAGACATAGATCCCATTCACGATGTCAAAAATAAGTAAATAAATTCAACCTTATTGGAGGTCATTTTAGATGGTCTAAATAAATGGGGGGATACAGTCACTCACGTTTGGGAAGTATCAAGCTAAGTATCTAAAACATGGAAGCTATCCCCAGATTAATCCAGCAATTCAATGCAATTCTATCAAAATCTCTAAAAGGTTGTGTGTGTGTGTTTGTATGTGTGTGTGTCTGCATGTACACAACTTCTAGGTGGTTCCCAAATTAACAGGGAAAAGTAAGAGCTAAGAATAGCTCAGATTATTTTGTACCACAGGACTAAAGAAAGGGAGCATACATCCCTGATATCAAGATTTATAGTAAAGCAACAGTGGTTAAAACCAGATGGTATGATTGACCAATGAGTGGATGAATAAAACGTGTTATACATGTAAAATAGAATATTATTCAACCTTAAAAAGGAAGGAAATTCTGGCACATGCTACAACATGGAAGAACCTTGAAGACGTTATAGTAAGTGAAATAAGCCAGTCACAAAAGTGCAAATATTGCATAATATATGAGATACTTAAGTGAGTTAAATTTATAGACAAATTAGGGAGAATGGTAATTACCAGGGAGTAATGGGATGTTACTGTTTAATATGTGCAGCATTTCATTTTGGGATCATGAAAACTTTCTGGAGATGAATAGTAGTGATGGTTGCACAACAACGTCAGTGTACTTAATGCCACTGAATTGTACACTCAAAAAGGATTAAAATGATAAATTCTATGTAAAGTAGAGTTTACCATAATTTTTAAATAAAAACATGACGTAGAGCAGGAATGAACAACTAGATCAATAGGTAAAAAATATCCACAGAAACAGAACCATGAGAGCTTGGTGTATGATAGAACAGACATTAAAATCAGCAGGGAAAATGAGGGACTAATCAGTAAACAGTGTTGGACAACTGGCTATTTATATGGTAAAATATAAAATTAGGCCGGGCACAGTGGCTCACACCTGTAATCCCCACACTTTGGGAGGTCAAGGTGGGTGGATCACGATGTCAGGAGTTCAAGACCAGCCTGGCCAAGATGGTGAAATCTTGTCTCTACTAAAAATACAAAAAAAATTAGCTGGGTGTGGTGGCATGCGACTGTAATCCCAGCTATTGGGGAGCTGAGGCAGAGAATTTCTTAAACCTGGGAGGTGGAGGTTGCAGTGAGCCAAGATTGCGCCACTGCATTCCAGCCTGGGCAACAGAGCAAGATCCCATCTCAAAAAAAAAATTAGATTCCTATCTCACCTCATACACAAATTAAATTACAGTTGAATGACATTATCAAACCATGAAGGCTAAACTTTAATTTTTTTAGAAAAAATATATGGTGATATCTGTATGATAGTGCAAAAGATTTCTTGAACAAGATATGAAAGGTAAGGTAGTTTCCTACAGCTGCTGGAACAAAATGTCAGAAAGCAGGTGGCTTTCAACAACAGAAATGTACTCTCTTATAGTTCTGGGGCCCAGAAGTCTGAAATCAAGGTGTCAGCAAGGTCGTGCTCCCTCTGAGATTGCATAGAATCAATCCTTCCTTGTTTCTTCCGAGCTTCTGATGATGGCTGTCAATCCTTGGTCATGCTTTGGCTCTCAGCGGCATCACTCCATTCTGTGTCTGTAATCACCAGTGTTCTCCCCGTGTGTCTTTGAAACCAAATAACCAAATTTCCCTCCTTTTTTTTTTTTTTTGTTTTTTGAGACATAGTCTCTCTGTCACCCAGGCTGGAGTGCAGTGGCGCAATCTTGGCTGACTGCAAGTTCCGCCTCCCAGGTTCACGCCATTCTCCTGCCTCAGCCTCCCGAGCAGCTGGGACTACAGGCACACATCACCTCGCCTGGCTAATTTTTTGTATTTTTAGTAGAGACGGGGGTTTCACCATGTTAGCCAGGATGGTCTCGATCTCCTGACCTCGTGATCCGCCCACCTCGGCCTCCCAAAGTGCTGGGATTACAGGTGTGAGCCACCGCGCCCGGCCCAAATTTCCCTCTTCTTACAAAAATGCCAGTGGGCCAGTCGCAGTGGCTCATGCCTGTAATCCCAGCACTTTGGGAGGCCGAGGGGGGTGGATCACCTGAGGTCAGGAGTTCAAGACCAGCCTGGCCAACATGGCAAAACCCCATCTCTACTAAAAATACAAAAATTAGCCGGGCATGGTGGTGCACACCTGTAATTCCCAGCTACTCAGGAGGCTGAGGCAGGAAAATCGCTTGAACCTGGGAGGTGGAGTTTGCAGTGAACCGAGATTAAGCCATTGCACTCCAGCCTGGGTGACAGAGAGACTCTGTCTCAAAAAAAAAAAAAAAAAATACTAGTCATCTTGTATTAAGGGCCCATCCTTTTCCAGTATGACCTTACCTTAACTAGTTACATTCACAATGGCCCTATGTCCAAATAAGGTTATATTCTGAGGTACTGGTAAGACTTCAACATATCTTTCCTGAGGACACAGCACAACTCAACCCAGAACAAAGGTATTAGCCATAAATAAAAGAACTGATACATTTGATCATATTAAATTAAAAGTAAGAAATTTATTTCTTCTGTAATATGTGTCAAAGATATTATGAAAAAAAGATTAGAAGTCTTTTCCCCCATTTTTAGTAATCTTGATATTATGAAACAAGTGAGTACTAAAACAAAAACAACAATAAATATGAGCACTACAGCAAACATGACATACTGTAATAGAATTTTATTGAAAAAAATAACACGTACTTACTGAAGTTTTTTTTTTTTTTTTTTTTGAAACCAAGTCTCGCTCTGTCGCCAGGCTGGAGTGTAGTGGCATGATCTCACCACACTGCAACCTCTGCCTCCCGGGTTCAAACAATTCTCTTGCCTCAGCCTCTCAAGTAGCTGGGACTACAGGCATGTGCCAACACACCCAGCTAATTTTTGTACTTTCAGTAGAGATGGGGTTTCACTATGTTGGTCACTATGGTCTTGATCTCTTGATCTCGTGATCTACCCACCTTGGGTTCCCAAAATGTTGGGATTACAGGTGTGAGCCACTGCACCAGGCAAACTGCGATCTTTTAGTGGTGCCTCTTCTCTCTTTTGACTTAAGGATGTTGTCCCTTAAGGAAACCTGGAGGCTACTACTGTGATACACTACTTGAGAGATGGATTGTTGCTCTTTCTTCTACAGTCTTTACAAGGAGTAGATTATAAAGACAGAAGATGTTAACCATTGCATTAATGTTTGGAAGCTGACAGTCTTCTAGATTTCTGCTAGCAAACTGATATGAGGTAGAGTCCTGAAAGATCTTTCAGCAATTTCATTCTCTTGGGATAAGTGAGTCACTTTCAGAACAGTGTGTGTTGTAGAATTTTTTGGTTGTGGCTGCTCTACTCAGATTGCATAGAGGTTTTTTTGTTTTCTGTTTTCTGTTTGTTTGTTTTGGTCAGATTTTTTGAAACATCTTCATAGTGTATCATCCTGAAAACTGAATAGTCACTTTGAGGTTATTGCTTTTTCTTTCCAGGTCAGTTAGCCAACTAAAAAGGCCCCAAAAAAACTGGCTTCATGGTCCATGTCTATCAAGTGCTCATTTGTTACAGAAACAAAAATTCTGTCATTTTCCTTAAGCTCAAATATTCCCCCTTGATAGATGGAATAGAGTCCATATTCTGCATCTTTAGACCAACAACTATTTCTAGCACTTTTCATCAACAATATAGGGTCAGGATAACTTGTGTATTTGTAAATATATTGGACCATTTGTTTGTCGTTCTTTGTGTTTTCTTTTATTTCCTCCTGAAATCGAAAGTATGTTTGGGAATAGATGTAGTAAAACCCTTTTTCATGGATGACCAGTTCACCATTCCTCAAGTGCAAGTTGCTCAGGAATGAATGCCCACTCCTTGATGATTCCCAGGAGTTTATTTTGCGGCCCAGAGCCTTTTCATTCTTGGAGTCTGTAGGAAATTTAGAGAGAAAGAGCGTTAACAGAAGGGAATTTGTAGCAAAGCAAGGAGCTTTTTTGCAGCTGTGGCCAGCCTATATTTTTGTTGGGCTTGCCAGGGATTTCAATCTAATATCAAACTTCTTCCTCCTTCAATCTTAATGTGGATTATAAATTCTAGTCACATAGAAATTGGGAGGTTCCTGCATCATTGTGACATTGGGAACTGTTGGGAGTCCCTTGTCTTTTTATACCTTGTCAGCTGCTTATGCCACATGTGTCACACTTAGAATGGTAGCACAAGGGATGGCCCACTCAGATAGCAATGGTTTCTCCTGGGCAGAACTTCTGCCCTGAATCTGTTCCTCCCGTCTTGTGCTGGTGAACTTAAGTGGACAATCCAGAAGGAAACCGAAATAAACGTATCTATTTCTTTAGGCCTAAATCTCAGAAGTTCTTGCCATTCCTTTTGGACTCTTTGGGTCCCCCCTTGATCTTTCTCAGCTCTCCAGAGTCAAAGGCACATCCAAGCAGATGGCGTCTCTAGCCAAAAATAATAGAGGCACAAAGTTGGCAAAGGAGCCTAGATTTAAAGATCCTCAGATCCTTGAATCTTTCACACTCAAAGGTTTTGAATGAAAAATGAACCTTCCAAAATGATATTCATTTACACTTTTAGCCTATCTCCACGATTGGTGCAAAATTGGGCTTTTCCAGAGCGTAAACCAGTTATATTTATTGATGAGTAGCAAGCAGTAACATCATAATAATCCCCTCACTTGTAGGCAGAACATGACAATCATTTATAAAACATGAGTCCAAGAATGTCAAGAAGGCAACTACCCAGAAGAAACTAAACCAACCAACCAACCCCAAACCCCCAAACAAACTTTTTATCTATTAACTGATGTCTGAAATATTTTTAGACAAATTTACGGGATAAAGCCTCTGACAAAAATAAAGGTGAGTATTTCTTGAGGACATACAATAGACCAGACATTTTGCATCATTTTGTGGGTTAAGATTTGTCTCATCTTTGCATATGAAGAAACTGAAGCTTGACTAGGTTAAGTAATTAGCTCAAAACATGCATCTAGGTGAAGAGGAGCTGTGATTCCAACCTAGATATTTACACTATAAGACCCATGCACAGAGGCCTGGTGTGGTGGCTCACGCCTGTAATTCCAGCACTTTGGGAGGCCGGGGGGGTGTGGATCAGCTGAGGTCAAGAGTTTGAGACCAGCCTCGTGTAGTGGTGCATGCTTGTAATCCCAGCTACTCGGGAAGCTGAGGCAGGAGAATCGCTTGAACCTGGGAGGCAAAGGTTGCAGTGAGCCGAGATGGCACCATTGCACTCCAGCCTGGGCGACAAAAGTGAAACTCCGTCTCAAAAAAACAAAAAAAAAACAAAAAAATACCCATGCACAGTATTACATAGCAACATATCGACACATGTTCTGCCTATATATAAATTAGATGTAACATATATGGTTAAACTATATGAAACTGACATTTGTGTAAGTAAAATATGGTCAAATATTGGCAATCTCCTGTGGTTTAATTTAATGTAAATGCCACTAGGAGCACCTAGTGATTCATAGGGATAGTAAATGATTTAGAACCTTTAAAGAGAAGGGAGATTTGATGGCGAGCAAAGAAGAGAAGTGCAGAGGGATGGAAGAAGTAATCATAAGAGAGAAAGGCTGGGTGCAGTGGCTCACACCTGTAATCCCAGCACTTTGGGAGGCCGAGGTGGGCGGATCACCTGAGGTCGGGAGTTCGAGACCAGCCTGACCAACATGGAGAAATCCCATCTCTACTAAAAATACAAAATTAGCCAGGCGTGGAGCTGCGTGCCTGTAATCCCAGCTACTTGGGAGGCTGAGGCAGGAGAATTGCTTGAACACTGGAGGCGGAGGTTGCAGTGAGCCGAGATGGTGCCATTGCACTCCAGCCTGGGCAACAAACGTGAAACTCTGTCTAAAAAAAAAAAGGAAAGAAAGAAAGAAAAAGAAAGAAAGAAAGAGCGAGAAATTACTCTAAAGAAGGAAAAAAAATGGGATCCTGAAAACTGCAAAGACAAAATTCTCCCACTTTGTAATTTTCCTGAGGCCAGTTATGTCGTGGCAATAATTGAGCTGTTTGTCTGTAATCTTGCATCTGAAAACAGTCAATCTGAGATCTGATTAATACTGAGCATTTTGTAGATAGCCATATAAACATTTCAGATAAAATTCTTTAAAAAATAAGTTACTTGGCACAATCCTTCCATTATTTTCCCTTAAGTCACTTATTTGTTGTTTCTCTTACTTGGAGAAGACAATGTGTTGCTTCTTCCTCTGGTCCCAGTTATGTGAGCTGCTACTCTCTGAGGACCTCTTTCTCTCACTAGGGGAGAAATATTTTGTTGCTTTTCTAAAAGAGAAATGATAAAGGGTCATCAACACTTGCCAAACTAGTTCTCCAATACCTTGCTCTTCATAGGTGTTGTCAATCAGCCATCGTAAGCATACTGGGCTTCCAAAGTTGATTCTATGAGTTTTCATAAAAATAACATTTTGATATTATGATCAACCTACCTCAGCTTATGATCAACTTGAAAAGTACTTTACACGGAAAGAATAAGCAGTAACATGGATTATAATTTATTAGTGTCTCACGGGTAGGGTCCAAAGAGAAACAAAGTGAAGATACAACAAAGTGAAGATTCTATCCCTTTTCCAAAAATATAAATAAAGAAATAGCTGTAGCTGTGTAATAATCCTGCTGAGTTAAATTGTGCAAATAACTACGTATTGGCAAATTTCCACCTTGAATTACATACAGAAATAAACAGAGTGGTACCAACAAACAGATGGTCAGGAGATTGAGACTATCCTGGCTAACACGGTGAAACCCCATCTCTACTAAAAATACAAAAAAATTAGCTGGGCATGGTGGCAGGCACCTATAGTCCCAACTACTCAGGAGGCTGAGGCAGGAGAATGGTGTGAATCCAGGAGGCGGAGCTTGCAGTGAGCAGAGATCTCACCATTGCACTCCAGCCTGGGCAACAGAGCAAGACTCCGTCAAAAAAAAAAAAAAAAAAAAGAAATGTAACAAATGACTTTCTCTAAAAGAATCAGTTCAAACTTCCCAAGTGTGCTTACATTGGTTGTAAGTAAATTATATTCTTTCATCAAACAGACAGTGCTAGGGTAAGGCACTACACCCCAGAGGGCTACAAATATTAATCACTGATTTCACTGACCATGTCCTCAAGGGACTTACAGCCTTCTACAGAAAATATGAATTAGAAAGTGACAATTTGGAGGCCAAGATGGGTGGATCACTTAGCCTGAGAGTTTGAGATTAGCCTGGGCAACATAGTGAAA
Organism: Homo sapiens; assembly: GCF_000001405.40. Taxonomy (NCBI): domain Eukaryota; kingdom Metazoa; phylum Chordata; class Mammalia; order Primates; family Hominidae; genus Homo; species Homo sapiens. The sequence goes on from NC_000003.12 coordinate 172,510,281, forward strand.
CCTTGTCTCTATAAAAAATAGAAAAATCAGCCAGGCGTGTTGGCCTGTGCCCGTAGTCCTACTATTCGGGAAGCTGAGGTGGGAGGATTGTTTGAGGCCAGGAAGTTGAGGCTGCAGTGAGCCATGATCGTACCACTGCACTCCAGCCTGGGCAACAGATTTGTTAAGGTCATTTCAAGGATATGGATAGGAAAGCCTAGATTTGAAAGCAAATTTTTAAAAGAGGAAATTTCCAACTGGTTATAGCAAACACCTCCCAAAAAAGAAACCTGCAAATATGTATATCGAGGTACCATGGATATATCTTGGTATACAGAGTTGTGTTTCACCTTACTGGGATGAATAACAAAGAATTTTATTCTTCCAACACTGAAAACAGTACATGCATCTATCTGCTGTAGACCATTAATCTGGTATGCCTCATCTGAATAGGTGGAGTGTTCAACATTCTCACTACTGCTTTCACCTTTGGAGAAATGATAAGAAAGAAGGCTTAGACCCCAGGAACAGGTCCTGTCCTTTATATTTAAGAAAACATATTTAATAAAGGAAAATGGGGGTGCCAAGTGATGAAGAAGTTTATTGCATTGGAAAAGAATAACAGATTTAAAAAAATAACTGAAAGGAAATGAACAAGGTACATGTGATAAAAATAACAGAGTGCAGGGAATTTACTTAGAAAGGTGTCCAGGGAAGCCCTCTCTGAAGAGGTGACAATTACGTGAGCTGTAAAGTACGATGGAGTGCCAGATGGAAAGCTAAAGAAGCCAGCCTGGGCAACAGTAGTGCACAGAGAGGTGGGTCGAGAGAAGGCTGCTGACCATGAACAAGAGGGTGGTGTGGCCACAGGTGGAGACCGCAGGATGAGGATCGTGGGTGGGTAGAAAGATTGTTGGGAAAAGGATGATGGAGGAGGAGGCTTTTGTAAAGAAAGACCTGGAGCCCAGTGGTGGCCTGAAACAAAGAAGGGTAACTTTAAGGGACTTCATTTATTTCTCTCAATTTCCCAGAAACGATTTAAGATGGCTTCTTTGTAACACATTAGAAGGTAGAAACTAATAAGTGAAGAAATTAAGGTGAAAGGAAAATTCATGGGGAAGAATAAAATTAAGTTGAAATAAAGTTCTGACCATAGATGGGCCACAGATTTGGTTCTGAGCTTCCTAGCTGCCAATGTAAAGAGGGAAGTAGAATCAACAAGTGGCTTGAGATACGGAGCAGCAGATCAGAGGATGGATGAGTGGATGAGAACACAGAGAAGGAGAATGGAGAACTATTCACAACCTGTCATGAAGATGACAGTAAAAAATTAAAATAACAACAAAAAAGATACTACCTTGAACTGTAGAAATGGTTTCCTCAGAGGTTCTCAAAATCATCTGCAAATATTATTGAATAAAGCTTGTTAATTTCCCTAAAAATTTAAACTGACTATAGAATGCCTATGGCTCATCTTGCTGATGTCTAACAGGAAATTTCTACATGCATTATCAATCTGGGAAGTTTTAAGTTGGTCAAGCATAGGGTCTGTAAGGGGTGGGGTGGGAGCTGGGATAAATATTGAGATAGCTGTCCCAGCACAGCAATCAAGGGATGGTCCCCTGCCTGGGAAGTTCTGTTGCTGGATGAAGTCTTGGAAAGGCCACACCTGGAGCAGTGCAGGAGGAAGAAGCCATCCGCCATGTGATGTCAGCCAAATGTGGCTGATGGGTGTGGCAGCCATGTCATGTCACTTTCTGTGTGTGGGGTGTATGTATGTGCACATTCATGTGTGTGTGTGTATAAGTGCACTGGGTAGCAGAGCCCAGGGGCTTAAAATTATTGGACAGACCCAAGCCTCAAGATGCAGGGCACACTTCCTCTCTCTCAGGATGCCCACAGACATACATAGCCTATCGAGGTATAACCTGACAACACCGTGTCATTCTTTCACTTCTGAGAATGTGGCTGAGCCATTCTCAACATAAAGATATTTTACCATCTTCCCATATCTTTGCTAAATATCTAGTAACCTCCCCCAGCCTTTGTACTAACCAGTGGGGAAAACCAGTAAGAAAGAGTGAAAACCAAACCTCTCTATTAAATGGGAAGACCCTGACTTGGCTCATCCATGGCTTCTGAATTCAGCTCTGTCCCTCCTGCCACCTTCTCCCATCACTGCCCTCTTTCTCAGTCACTGTAGTTAATGTTGCAACTGTCAGAAACTTGCCTTCTCTGTACTTCCAGCCCAAAGCAGAAGCTCTCTGCTTCTCCCTCCACCGCAAGCCCTGATGCCGGATAATGGGGGCAGGGAGTGGTGGCGGTGGACTGACTGTAATCAGTTCCCTGGGCACTGACTTACGGGAAGGGGAAGTGAGAGGAAACCACAGCATTCTCTCTTATCTCTGCCTCTCATTTCTCTCTGTGTGTCTCTCTTTCCCACTCTTACTCTCTTTCTCTTATTCTGCAACAGAAAGGAAGGAAAGAAGGGGAAGCAACAGGAAAAAGAAAAGGGTCTTTCCTACAATGTGGGAGGCAAAATAAAAAGAGTGACTAGAAGCATGGCCAGATGCCCTGCATTCAAATGTTTCAGTTACTGGCTCTGTGAGACTGTTCAAGTTATTTAACTGATCTAAACTTCAATTTATTAATCTATTTTTAAAATATATTTAAGAGGATAATAACGATTTATTATTCAGAGCTGTCGTGAGGATTAAATGAGATAATGTATGAAATGGGCATAGGATATTTACTGGAATAAATCTGTTCAACTAATGTGCCTGAAAAGAAAAAGAGAATTATTTTTCCCACATTCTCACCTATTCCCTCTGTGTTCTCTCCCAGCTTCCCGCTATTCTAGTTGGTAGCAGGATGTGAGAATGGGAGGGAGAATGGCAGGAATAGCAGGAAAGAGAAATGTCCTCACTATTTCTCTTATCTCCCCACTCCCTGTCCACAGCACCCAGCCCTCTCCTCAGTCTCCAGATTTCCACCCTAGTTCTCAGTCTCTCTGCCCTGCTGGACAATCGCACCTCCACCCTCCCCAAGCCCCTATCCCGGGAACTTGGGAGTTTCATTTCTCAGCTTCCTCAGGACCTTTCTCCAGCCCAGGCTTTTCCTAGTCTCCTGGTCCTTGCCCCCTGAACACTTGCTGTCATTTGCAGTGGTGGAATCATAGCTGCTTCCGTACAGCTTGTGTGGAGTGGGCCCCCCTGTCTGGAGCAATGCCGCCAGGGCAGCCACAGAACAGGTATGTTTCTAGGACTCCTAGAAGGAAGTCTAGTTTCATTTCCCATAGAAATAGCATCTCACATGTGTCAGGGCTCTACTGTGAAAACAGCTCAGGATTATCAGCTTGATCCCTAACCACCAACATAACAGTATTTATATGGAGAAACAGATGCAGAACACCAAACAATGGACTTATAAACATGTGTAAAACACATTCTCCTCCTACCCTGGGAATTCCCCCAGTTAACGTCTTTAAACAATGGTGGTGTATGTGGTACTTCATAGTTTACAGAGTATTTTTATAGCTGTGTTCTCATCTGATATTTTCACATAGGCAGAAGCAATTTTTTTTTTTTTTTGGTTTTTGAGATAGAGTCTTGCTCTGTTGCCCAGGCTAGAGTGCAGTGGCATGATCTCAGCTCACTGCAACTTCTGCCTCTTAGGTTCAAGCAGTTCTCCTGTCTCAGCCTCCCAAGTAGCTGGGAGTACAGGCACACACCACCACACTTTGCTAATTTTTGTATTTTTAGTAGACACAGGGTTTCACCATGTTGGCCAGGCTGGTCTTCAACTCCTGACCTCAGGTGATCCGCCTGCCTCAGCCTCCCAAAGTGCTGGGATTACAGGCGTGAGCCACTACACCCGGCTGCAAATATTATTTAATGCCATCTTATAAAGAAGGAAGAGCCTAAGAGAAGAAACTTGATTAGATCTGTCACTCTGCCACATTTAGTAAAATAAACTGTTAACTAACATGTCTCTGCTGGAGGTCCTGTTTAAGCAACTTCCATAAACAGATACTTTTTGTAATTTGTTATTTATTGGCTGTAAATTAAGAAAAAACCACCTTCAATTTCTCAAAGTATCTCTTTCTTCCCTTCCCTTCCTTTCCTCTTTCTTTCCTCTTATTTTCCTCTTTCTTTATCTCTATATGCATACAAAAACAAATATTTAATTCCAGACATCAGCAATGTGGGAAGAATATAAAATATCATTATTTGATCTTCTTTATCTTTTGAATGAAAAACAATGCCACACATTCTTTATGACTTTGTGACCTTCTCTTCATTACCCTGTGTGTGCCTCAGTTTCCATAATGTGAGATCAAAAGGTTAGACTAGATGTGGAGGCTGTCCGGGGCAGAGGAATGAACTCTAGACCAGGAGTCGGCCAGGTCCTGCCCTTTGCTGCTATGCCCCATTTTCCTAGTTCTATGAATTTGGGGAAAATTACTTAAATACTCTGGGCCTAAGTTTTCTTATTTGTAAAATGAAGAGTCTAGACTTGATTATCTTAAAGATTCCTTTGCTTTAAGGAATTCTTCTGGCCTTCTCCGCCTGCTGGTGAGGTCACCTGGTGAGGTTACCTACCTTTCTAACGAGCTGACGGAGTTGCCACTTGACTTGCCAGCAGGGGCTGTTCATACTCTCTTCGTCATTGGGGTCCCAATAACTGTCATCTTCTTTTAAGAAACAAGCAATGCCACTTTTGGAGTACTTGTCCTGCATCTGGGTTGAGATGGAATATAACACAATATTTTGCATAAGTGCTTTTTATTTTTGTTCATTTGGAAGTTAAGACAACAGAAACTGATAGCAGACTTAAAGAAGTTTTGGCATATTGAGTAAGTTCCTGTTTGAAATAAAAGTAAGCATGCTCTCCTTTGTCCTTAAAAAAAAAAAAAAAGAATAAAAGTAAGCAGCTGGATATGGTGGAAAGGATGCAGGTGTGCTTCAGGCATCTGGAGTCACAGTGTCCTTCCCTGCCTCCCTTACTAAACAGCTGTGCTTTTCTTGACAAGTTGCTTCCATTCTCCTGTGTCTGTTTATAGTTTTGAGCCGGTTCACTATGGTGATTCTGAGGTCTCTTCCAGTTCTGCCATGGTATGTATCCCATTTTGAAGCTGGAAACCTACCTAGATACAAGGTCGGTAGTGGAGTCAGTTTACATTTTAGGATCCTAAATAAAAAACAGCCAAGTCATTTGGGAGGGGGTCATGTTCTGTTTCTAGCTGTGGCTAGCTAAATAGATTCTAGTTACTGATCTGATTTCTACTCCTCTGGCTGGCAAAATCTGGACCATGTTGCCACTAGAAATCTGAATGCTGTCTCATTAAATGTTTACACTAACTAGGGATTTATTGGTAGAGACCTTAAACACTCTTTGAAGGTTTTCTCCCTGTTCTGATTGAAAGTAAACAATGGCAATAGTCAGATCATTATCAACGAGCTCCTCACCCTCATCAACAAATCCTTGCTTGATGTTATAAACACACACACACACCCACACACACCCCATCCCAAACCACCCAGAACTCTTTAGGCTGATAATTGTTTAATTGAGAAAAACAGGAAACAGAAGGTCCAAACAAAGCCAGAAGGGTTTTGTTTGTTTGTTTGTTTGCTTTGCTCATTTCTTCTCTTCCGTTTTGTTTTGTTTTAACAAGTGGGATGGAAGAGACGTTATTTCCCTGAAAAAATCTGCTGAATTGGCCAGGCGCGGTGGCTCATGCCTATAATCCCAGCACTCTGGGAGGCCGAGGCGGGTGAATCACAAAGTCAGGAGATCGAGACCATCCTGGCTAACCCAGTGAAACCCCATCTCTACTAAAAAAATACAAAAAATTAGCTGGGCGTGGTGGCGGGCGCCTGTAGTCCCAGCTATTTGGGAGGCTGAGGCAGGATAATGGTGTGAACCCGGGAGGCGGAGCTTGCAGTGAGCTGAGATCGTGCCATTGCACTCTAGCCTGGGCAACAGAGCGAGACTCCATCTCAAAAAAAAAAAAAAAATCTGCTGAATTGACTACCTAGGGAAATAAATGAGAAAATGACAATTTTAATCTGTTATTTGAACTAAGGTACTGCAAAGGTTGAAGGGAGGATCAAATTGAACGATGATTCACTCCTTCCTATAGAAAGACAATATCATTTTAAATCAAAATATCTTAACTGTTTATGAGAGGTCCCAGCTAGAATCACACAGTTCTGTACTCAGCCATGTAACCCTTGGACATTTGGCCAAGGTCCCTCAAATGCAAAGGTGCAAACTTGAGTTAATAAATTTCTTCCACACACCCTGACATAGATCATTCATTTACTTTTAAACAAATGTTTATTTTGTTTCTTCCTCTTTTAAATTACAAGAGAAAAACATTCCCGTAGTATATGTAGTTGGAGGTGAAGCTGGGGCCTCCTGAGTTGAGATATGACTGGCCATGGACTTAGGTACATTTCCTTGCCCCTGCCTGCCCCACCTGTAAACATCCAGTTGCACCTCGAATTGACTTGGGAGATGCAAAACCTTTCCAAGGAAGGCACTCAGTCACATATGATTCAGAAATATGAGAGCATGTCTAGCAAACTGTGGGAAAGGATCAAGAAGGAAGAGACGAGAAACTGGGATCAGCCACAAGGCCCGAGGGTGGTTCCAGGAAGAGCAAACTTTCCCTGGACACTGTCCCAGTTCACTCAGTATGAGTTGGCTCTGGCCAAGCTTCGGTTTGATTACACTGAACAAGCAGGCTCACAAGTCTCTGTAACTTGTTGGGGCAAGAAGGTGTGCATAACACAGAAAGGAGGGAGCGGTATGCCTTTTCACTTCACATCAGCTGTAAGCTATCTCAGCAGGAAATGGCTGAATATGGGAGGCTTCAGCTGTGAGAGGCAAGGTGCAGAGTTGAAAGCTGCCTGTGATCAGGCAGTAATGGCAGCAGGCAACAACTTATCAACTGAGGTGGAGTTTGACAAGGATGGTCGTGGTGGAGCTTGTGCCACAGGGACTAGCCCAGGTTAGCACCAATTGCTGGCTAGAGCCTGTGATCCCTTCTGAGTATTTTCCAGAAATACTTTCAGGAGGAGGTGGAAGGAACCTGGAAAATTGAGTAAGGTCCTGGGTATAAGTGGATGGGAGGTTAACAAGTTAATGTAGCTACATTATTACCCAGGAGTTTATAAAGCCTGGATACATTCAGGATACACAGGCAAGCAGGGAAGCATGGAAAAGTAAAGAACACTTTTCTAAAAGAAAAAAAAAACCCTCCAAAAACTAAATAAGTAAATCACAAAAACAAAACAAAACAACCACTAATAGCAGCTATATTCTCACCTCCTACTTAACCTTTGGATGATATCTCTTGTTTACAGGGGTGAGATCAGACTGTGTGTGTGCATAATTTTGAGTATGGTTGTTTTCTCATAAGACTATATAAAAATGCTGTGTTCTTTAAATCTGTATGAAAATTATACATGGATAGCATGGATATTTTTATAACATTCCCTGTAGAAAATTTGTAAAATATAGAAAAATAAAAAGGAAAAAAAGTACCCATAATCATACCATCTAGAGATCACATTGTCATTTTGGTGTTTCTCTTTCTAGACCTTTTTATGCATAAATATTGATTTCTGAACAATAGAAATCCAGAGAGGAAGCCCCAGTCACTCTCTCCACCCTCACATGTTTCTTGCATCATGAATTTTGGTAGTTTCTCCTATAGAACTTGGCCAATGCTGGTGACTAGACACATGGCGGGTTGACGTGAGGTGCTGTGGTTATTCCAAGAATGATAATTAATACGATACGTCTCCCCCGCCTCCTCCCATCCTTTCCACTTCAAAATATGAGTTTCCTGCAGCATATCATAGGCTGAGGCTATATTCTCTAACTAACCACACTTGGGCATTGGGGGCAGAAGGTAGCGTGTGGGGATTATTTTCATTTGCGTGCCTCTGAAAAGAAAGCTCTTGCACTGGGTGCCTGTTCTTCAGCTCCAGAAGCCCTTGGTTCTGAAAAGTGGATTTCCATGGTGACTGCTCTTGGTGCTGTTACAAACACGGTGGTTGTCTAGGCCAGGGTCAACCAGTCCTTGATGGGGCTTGAGGTCAGCAGGGTAGACTCAGCAAGGTAGACTTCAAGATGGCAGCAATGACCCTGTCTGCTGCCCAGACATTAGTCTCTGGCAATCATTTTCTGCAAACTGCAAATAGCATAAAGGATCATTTATGGAGATCCGTGGAGAGGAAGCCCTTCTCCTTTTTCCTCCCCATCTATGATGTCACAGTGACAGGCCATTCCTTTATCATAAAACTTTCTCAGAGGGACACAGATTTCAGGGGCTAAGCCCATATTTGTTGTTCATGTTTGCTGGTCTACAGGCTATTTGTGAAGGTCCAATCCAATGTTATGAAGCCTTCCTTAACCCTTACACCCTATAATCCTTGCAGAGTGTATCTTCTGCAAATGTTCACCAGACAAAGTGGAGCCTGTATTCAATTTTAAGAAATTAATACTTATGTTGAATATACTTTTCCAAAGTCTACACAGAAGATTCAAACTTATTTTCCCTTTGGAAAATTTCTGATGAAGAAAGTGACACCTTCAGGAGACTTTTCAGCAGTAATTAGAACGCTACTATAAAAATAGCATTGTATTGTATTGAAAAAATGTATTGTAAAAAAAAGTAGGTGCTTCAATTTATTGAGTACCTCCTTCATGCCTGGGTTCAAAATCAGGTTTTACCTTTTACTAGTTTTGTAATCTTGAACAAATCTCTTAACTTCGCCTGAGCTTTAGTTTGTTCATCTGTAATATGGGGTAATTATACTTACATAATAGAATTGTTATGAGAATTGAAACCAGGCAATACTTTTCAAAGTTGCTGGTACACAGTAATTGCTCAATATCTGTAATTCTCCTAGCTTTCTAGCACTCTCAATGAATTCTTCTGCATGCCTAATGTACATGTGTTCATATGTCAATATGCAATTAGGAAAAATGTATGCAAGTGGGAAGATCTTAAGCCTTATATGAAATTTCCATTTTTATAGTAGAATTGAAAAAGAAATTTGATTATATATACAGACAATTGCATGAGTCAGTTGAGTAAAGAACTGGTTGATTCAATCTTAAAATTAGTCCAACTTGTAATGTAAGCAAATTGATGGAGCTACTTGTGTGTGGAGTAACAGCTTTACTCTGTTTATGCTGCAAAGTTAAGAAAGGTTAGGAAATTCTGGCTCCAAATTGGTGAACATAGCAGTATTCCAGTCTCTCGTGTAGACTTAAAGCTAAAGGTATGATTACAGTTTCATTAATATTTTTTTCTTACAAAAGAAAATCTTTTCTAAATGTGTCCTACAATAAACCTGACTTTACTGGTCATCTAATAGTAGCCATAATTTTCATAATTAGTTGCAAATAAAACAAGAGTCTGCCTCATCCATTTCCAAAAGAAAAATTTCCGACTGATTGGGATAACCAAACTTACATTCCACAGGATATGCAAACTACATTTCCCTAGCAAATAGTTACTACTCTATGTCTTTTGCACAATTTATACTTTTCTGAGATCCTTAGCCTTTCATTTCCTAGTCAGCTGGCAGAGTTGGTGCTGCAGGATGCGCTGTGCATGCACAGTGTACATCACAAGGTGTAGATAGGTTAACCCTGTGGACATCCCACTGTGGAGGGAAGAGCCTACAGACCTGGGTGCTAGCCGCCCCACGGCCAGCCTCCAAAGCCTTGTCTGAACTTGAGTACATTATTTCTTGTCTCCTCGTCTGTAAAAAGTGGTTGTGGTGGTGGGGGGAGGATCTGACGTTCCTTGCAGCTCATAATTCTCTACTATTTAATATACAATGAATTAAAATATATATTAGAAGTCAAAAACTGAGTTGGTTTATTTTCAGCAATTTTGCAGTCATAGTTCCAGGGGTTTTCATCGAGAAAATCATAAATTAAAATAGCACTGTTTGTTTGTTTTGTCTGTCAAAGATACCTCAATTTGTACATGGACCATCCACAGGCAGAGATTGGCAGTTTGCTTTTCAATTGTTTTATCATGAACAGCTGTGTCTATCTGATAACTTCTTTATTACAGATTTTACCCATGACATGCCCGTGCCCCAGGAATAGGCAGAATGCCAGTCCTTTGTATTCTCACTTATTGTCAACACAGGAATGCCACATAACTAAAAGCAAAACATTTCAAAGATGTGAAAGTTCACCAGGACTAGCTACATCTGGAATACAAAACGGGAGTGTTCAGTGACTTAGGGCCTGGCTTTGGGTTGAGCCTGACTCTACCCTTGTCGCCTGCATATTCGTGGTGCCTACCACATCTGTGAAGGCTGTTCATTCACTCAATAAGTATGTAGTGAACCACAAGTATTAGTATTAGTGGCTACTTGGGAACCACATGCTAGACCCAGAGGTATACTAATGAGCAGAAGCAGACACAGCTCTGATACAGCTACCCTCACCCTCAAGAATTCATGAGTCAAGAACTGTAACTCCAACCTGCAACAACAAAGCAGGGAAGATGGCTACAGTTACCAAAACAGCATGTTACTGGTATGGAAACAGATACATAGACCAATGGAACAGAACAGAGGCCTCAGAAATAACACTACACATCTACAACCACCTGATCTTTGACAAACCTGACAAAAACAAGCAATGGGGAAAGGATTCCCTATTTAATAAATGGTGCTGGGAAAACTGGCTAGCCATATGCAGAAAACAGAAACTGGGCCCCTTCCTTACAGCTTCTACAAAAATTAACTCAAGATGGATTAAAGACTTAAACGTAAAACCTAAAAGCATAAAAACCCCAGAAGAAAACCTAGGCATACCATTCAAGATGGCATGGGCAAAGACTTCATGACTAAAACACCAAAAGCAATTGCAACAAAAGTCAAAATTGACAAATGGGATCTAATTAAACTAAAGAGCTTCTGCACAGCAGAAGAAACTATCATCAGAGTGAACAGGGAACCTACAGAATGGGAGAAAATTTTTGCAATCTACCCATCTGACAAAGGTCTAATATGCAGAATCTACAAGGAATTTGTTTCTTGTAAAACAAATTGACAAGAAAAAAACCACATCAAAAAGTGGGCAAAAGATATGAACAGATACTTCTCAAAAGAAGACATTTATGTGGCCAACAAACATGAAAAAAAGCTCATCATCACTGGTCATTAGAGAAATGCAAATCAAAACCATAATGAGATACCATCTCACTCCAGTTAGAATGGTGGTCATTAAAAAGTCAGGAAACAACAGATGCTGGAAGGATGTGGAGAAATAGGAATGCTTTTACACTGTTGGTGGGAGTATAAATTAGTTCAACCAGTGTGGAAGACAGTGTGGCAATTCCTCAAGGAACCAGAAATACCATTTGACTCAGCAATCCCATTACTGGGTATATACCCAAAGGATTATAAATCATTCTACTATAAAGACACATGCACACATATGTTTATTCCAGCACCATTTACAATAGCAAAGACTTGGAACCAACCCAAATGCTCATCAGTGATAGACTGGATAAAGAAAATGTGGCACATATACACCATGGAATACTATGCAGCCATTAAAAAGAATGAATTCATGTCCTTTGCAGAGACATGGATGAAGCTGGAAGCCATCATTCTCAGCAAACTAACACAGGAACAGAAAACCAAACACTGCATGTTCTCACTCATAAGTGGGAGTTGAACAGTGAGAGCACATGGACACAGGGAGGGCAACACACACACTGGGGCCTGTCGGGGGTGGGAGGCTAGGGGAGGGAGAGCATTAGAACAAATCCTAATGCCTGTGGGGCTTACAACCTAGATGATGGGTTGATGGGTGCAGCAAACCACCATGGCACATGTATACCTATGTAACAAACCTGCACGTTCTGTACACGTATCCCAGAACTTAAAGTAAAATAAAAAAATTTAAAAATAAAGAAATCTGTTTGCCAGAATTCACAAAGAGCAATAGACCTCATGTGAGTTATGAATCTGAACTTCATCCTGCTGTGTGCTATTGGATAAAGACTCTAAGAGCTACATTACAGATTTTTTCGACAGGAAGTATCACAGTAACAAGGCCCTATTTAAAGGCTGTTGCTACTGCTGTGGAACAGATTTACCCATTTGTGTTTGAAAGCAGGAAAGAAATTTTATCATTCACCACTTAATTGGTTAGAATCTCTTACTGTGCACCTTTTAAAACCTGCTGCACATTGGACTCAAAAGGAAAACTGAACCAACGGTAATTGAGGAAATAGACTCTTTTATTTATTCATGGCTACAGTGTAAGCTCCAGTCCCTTTGGATTTTATTCCAAACCTTGTTATAATATAAAAAAGGAAGTTTACAAGACATGTCATTGCTGCTTTTACAAAAGGACATTCTATTTATTTTCGCAGGAATTCTCATGTCCCCATAAGCAGAGCTGTCACAGTGTGCACTACCTTAGGTTGTTTTATTGTTGTCATTGTTATTTTTTTCCATTTTGAGCTAATGTGTTTTATCTGTGAATAGTCTTTTACATTTTTGTATGCTGAAAATGGGCACCAAAGAACCTGTAAAAATTATCTTTTTCAATTGAATGTGCACAAATAAAAGTTTGGAAAAGGAAAACAAAAGAACTACAAAGCATTTAGCAGAAAGCTTTCATGAAGAGTTGCAATGGCTGATATTATAAAATACACATACTTTTAAAAACAAAAAATCCCTCAGGAGTTTTGTTGCCCACATCTGCTAGTAACTAGTGAAGCCAGTTGTGTAACTGCACTTAGTTTACACAATTTCTTGAACTTACAGTTTTGCAAAGACCTCAGTTGTTATGTGATTTAGCAGTTAGAGTGTACCCACAGAGAAAGGAAGCAGGAAAGTCTTCAGAGAGGGGCAAGCTGACATGCAAAGAAGCAGGTAACCAGACATTTGCTAAGCGCCTCGAAGACTGAGTGCACTGCACTGCACTGACCTGCTTCAGCTCGTTGGTAAAGTACACGTAAGTTACAGCCACACAGAGAGACTGCAGGAGCACTGTGAAGATCACGATCAGCACGCAGGTCTGTCCCAGGCTGGGTCCCCCCTGGACCTCCATCATAGCCATGATCCTGTCAGAGTCTGACTGCTGTAAGTCAGCCAGGCAGCCGGTCACTGAAGCCCTTCCTTCTCTATTCTTTTATAGTCAGTGAGGAAATGAAAGCGAATGAGTTGTTTTTCTGGGTTCTGTGGCCTTGGCCCCACCCACATCTATTGAACCTGCAACTGTCCCTCCCCTTTCCTACTGCCCAGGGACAGCTCTTGTCTCAAAGTAGTCGTTGGAAAGGAGGGAAACTGAAAGAAGCTCCTCTCCTTGCCCTCAGGATCCATGCACCCCTTATCTGCACTCACCTCAAGCCCATTTCTCTCTTCTCTTTCTTGCTCTCCTTTTGATAATGTCCTCAGCCAAAGAGGGGAGGGATTTTCTTTGCTTTTCCCTAACATATCCTCATTCTACCACAGAGCTCTAAGCCTCATGGCCTGGCTGTCATAGGCACAAGGCCTGTTTTCTAAATTATAAGATAATTTTTATGACCTGAAACTTCCATATGTGGTTTTTCTCATGCTACTGTGAGGGTGGGAAGAGGGCAGGGTGGGAGTGGATAAAGGAAAATAGAAATACTGTCTCATAGCAATGGTCTTGCTACATAATTCCATCTTGAATGTCAGAATCTAAATATTGACGACTTCTTCCTCTTTGCAAACCTTCAGACACAAATTCTAATCTCCTTCTCAGATCTCCATCCCTACCAAGACAACATGCCTGTGTGTTAGGCTGGACAGGTAGGAAGTAGTTGACACACTCAGAAAGGCAAAGGAAAAAAACATGTGGATGTTTTCCAAAATATTAACCCCATCACAATGTCTCGCTGTCACTATCCTTTTACAGATTAGGAAAAGAAGTTACAGGGAGTTAATTACCCTCAGATTCAGGACCCAGCCCCAAATCTCCCCACTATCAGATGTCATAAGCTGGCCCAGCTGTATGTTGTCTCTATATCTTATTCAGCATTTCTTTCTTTCCTTTTCTTCCTTTCTTTCTTTCTTTCTTTTCTTTTCTATTCTTTCCTTCTTTCCTTCTTTCTTTCTTTCTTTCTTTCTTTCTTTCTTTCTTTCTTTCTTTCTTTCTTTCTCTCTTTCATGTATTTATTTATTTTTTTGACAGAATCTCACTTTATCGCCCAGGCTGGAGTGCAGTGGTGCAATGGCACAATCTCGGCCCACTACAACCTCCACCTCCCAGATTCAAGCAATTCTCCTGCCTCAGCCTCCCAAGTAGCTGGGATTACAGGTGCATGCCACCATGCCCAGCTAATTTTTTTGTATTTTTAGTAGAGATGGGGTTTTACCATGTAGGCCAGGCTGGTCTCGAACTCCTGACCTCAAGTGATCCTCTTGCTTCAACCTCCCAACGTGCTGGGATTACAGGCATGAACCACTGCATGGGGCCATTGTTTAGTTATTCCATTCTTGACCCACTGAGTCAGAGTTTCTGGCAGTGGACTTAGGAACCTACATTTTTCAGCAAGTACTCCAAGAGATCCTTTGAAACCTAAAGTTTGGGACCCTAGATCTACAGTTACATTCCTGAGTTCATTCAGGCACCGCTGGTCACCATCACTTCCTGCCCTTGCCTTCTATCTGTAAATGAGTCTATATTTAAGAAAATATTTTCAAATTTTAAATTTGCCTCTGTCAAATTGCCAAATTTTTAAATGCAAATTCCTTTCAGACACAGACAAATTGGCAAGGTAGCATTTTTCCTACTAAAAGTTTTAGACATTATGTGAACCTAACACTATTTGAACACACTTACACTCTAAGTCCTAGACTGAATGAGTTTTTTAAATCAGGTGAAAGATGAGTAGGATAACCGTAATGCACAAGACACACAGCCGGGCAGGGCAGAAACAAGAAACGAGAGATGGCAGAGAAACACAGGGGAGAAGACCAAAGAAAACCAACTTAACACCTTTGTTATAATCCAGAAATAGAAACATTACGGCTATGATGTACGTGAAAGGCATGAAACGAAGGAATGGGAAACGTGCAGGAAGTCAACATCTCTATCTTATAAGCACGTAAGAAAGTCTAGAGTGTGGAAATAAGGAGGCTTATCTCGGGGTCAGGTCAAGAGATGGGGTGATTTGAGGAGTTACAAGAGTCGGCTGGGCGCGGTGGCTCACGCCTGTAATCTCAGCACTTTAGGAGGCCGAGGCGGGCGGATCATGAGGTCAAGAGATCGAGACCATCCTGGCTAACACGGTGAAACTCCATCTCTACTAAAAATACAAAAAATTATTAGGGCATGGTGGTGGGTGCCTGTAGTCCCAGCTACTTGGGAGGCTGAGGCAGGAGAATGGTGTGAACCCGGGAGGCAGAGCTTGCAGTGACCAGAGATCGTGCCACTGAACTCCAGCCTGGGTGACAGAGCAAGACTCCAGCTCAAAAAAAAAAAAAAAAAAAGTCAAGAGGTCTGGCTACCTCTATCTTTGAGCCTCCTAACGTATTAAATATGAAGATATTATATATACATATTTGATATAGAGAAATCTTAATCTTTTTGTTATAACAATGTTTAAATAATATAGAGCTAAAGCCATTATTATTATTATTACTAGCATGGATCTGCTGACTGGCATCCATACATTAACCATAACCTTTAATCAGCAATTCAGTTTCTTTAAACTGGAGTGAGAATTTGTTATTTTATTTTATTTATTTATTTTGAGACAGAGTCTCACTCTGTTACCCAGGCTGGAGTGCAGTGGTACAATCTCAGCTCACTGCAACCTCCACCTCCTGGGTTCAAGTGGTCCTCCTGCCTTAGCCTCCCGAGTAGCTGGGACTACAGGTGCCCGCCACCACACCTGGCTAATTTTTTTTTTTTTGTATTTTTAGTAGAGTCAGGGTTTCACCATGTTGGCCAGGCTGGTCTCAAACTCCTGACCTCAGGTGATCCACCTGCCTTGGCCTCCCAAAATGCTGGGATTACAGGCGTGAGCCACCATACCCGGCTGAGAACCTTTTAAAAATACTTTTTTTTTTTTTTGAGACAGAGTCTCACTTTGTTGCCCAGGCTGGAGTGCAGTGGTGGGATCTCGGCTTACTGCAACTTCCGCCTCCCAGGTTCAAGAGATTCTCGTGTCTCAGCCTCCTGAGTAGCTGGGATTACAGCTGTGCACCACCATGCCTGGCTAATGTTTTGTAGTTTTAGTAGAGACGGGGTTTCACCATGTTGGTCAGGCTGGTCTTGAACTCCTGACCTCAAGTGATCCACCCTCCTCAGCCTCCCAAAGTGCTGAGATTACAGGCTTGATTACACACTGCACCCGGCCTGTTTTATAATTTTTAAGTAATTTTTAATGAAGTCCTTACAAAGCATTAAATTCAGCATTCCAAGAAACAACTCATATTTTATTGGCTTCCATGATATTTATATGAACTATGTAATTACAACTGGCATAATCAGTTCTGAGAATAATTTAATTCTTGTTAGATATATAGATGGAAACAGAAGAATAGCCTAAGTTCTTCATTCCCTGTGTGGAACATACTGACTGAAGGTTAGAGAACTTCCAGTGTATCTTGTTTCCTTTTTTTTTTTTTTTTTTTGAGACGGAATCTCACTCTGTCCCCCAGGCTGGAGTGCAGTGGCGCCGTATCCGCTCACTGCAACCTCCACCTCCTGGGTTCAAGCGATTCTCCTGCCTCAGCCTCCTGAGTAGCTGGGATTACAGGTGCATGCCACCACACCCAGATAATTTTTTGTATTTTTACTAGAGATGGGCTTTTACCTTGTTAGCCAGGATGGCCTCAATATTCTGACCTCGTGATCTGCCCACCTCGGCCTCCCAAAGTGCTGGGATTACCGGCGTGAGCCACCACGCCCAGCCTCTTGTTTGTTTCTATACTTATTTGTTTATTTTATGGCTACCCCATTTATAAGAATGTAGGTTGCATGAGAGTGAAACTTTGCCACATGCATTGCTACCAATGCCTTGCACACTGTGAGCACGATCTATGCTGGTTGGATGAATGAGCATTTCATAGTCTCCAGAATCTTAAGGCTCTTTACCTCAGGAGCAGCAGTGTGTTCTGCAGAATGGTCACAGACACAGAATTGTTAAGTCTTCCCCACCAAGCCTTACAAGAAATCTATTACTTGTTTCCTAGTGCATGACATCCCTAGACTAAGTGCCAAATATTTCATTCTGTGAATAAAGATGTTAGTTAAAATGTAAATGTTAAAGTAAGTTTAAGTAACCACACTGGGAGGCTTGGATTGTTTTCCTAATCAGACCAAGGGACAAAGGAGGTGAAGAGAAGACTGTACATTCCTCAAGCAGAGATGCAGGAAAAGGTTTCGGGACTATAAGGCTGGGTATTTCTCTAAAAGATCTATACTTCCAGCACTTAATTTTGCCAATAGTTGATCCTTGTTTGCTTTTAACATGAAGGGAAAAACAGAAGCTGTTGCTGCCACTGGTGCCCTGTGAAGATTTTTGAAGATTTTTAAAGATTTTAAAACTTTTCTTCTGAAGTAAGGATTTAATTATAAGAGCTGTTAGGCTGGGCGCGTGCGGTGGCTCACGGACATGGTGGTGCGTGCCTGTAATTCCAGCTACTCCGGAGGCTGAGGCAGGAGAATCACTTCAGGCTCGGAGGAGGAGGTTGCAGTGAGCTGAGATCATGCACTGCACCTCAGCCTGGGCAAGAGCAGGACACGTAGACTCAAAAAAATAAAAAGTAAAATAAAAATAAAAATGAAGTCTTGTCAGGTCTTGGACACACTGTCTTTGAGTGAAGAAATGAATTCTATTATTATTGTTTTTTAAATTTTTTTTTGAGATGGAATGTCGCTTTGTCACCAGGCTGGAGTGCAGTGGCATGATCTCTGCTCACTTCAACCTCCGCCTCCTGGGTTCAAGCAATTCTCCCGCCTCAGCCTCCCAAGTAGCTGGGACTATAGGCACGTGCCACCACACCCAGCTAATTTTTGTATTTTTAGTAGAGACGGGGTTTTGCCATGTTGGCCAGGCTGGTCTCGAACTCCTGACCTCAGATGATCTACCCGTCTCGGCCTCCCAACGTGTTGAGATTACAGGCATGAGCCACCACGCCCAGCCAAATCCTATTATTTTTATAATCAGACAATGGTAGAATCATAAAATGACTGGACTGTTAGACATCTTAAAGACCCCCAGGAAAATTCTATTGCTTGGTTGATAAGGAAACTAAAGCACCAAAAGTTAAGTGAGTTAGTCGTGGTTGTTGAATTACAAAATGGCAGAATGACTAGAATTCACATCTATTTGCTTCCAGGTAAATTGCTCTAAACTTTGGCTATTTTATCCACACTATATTGGAGCAAAAACAATTCTGTATTCCTCAAATCATTTATTCCTCCTCCCCCCATCACACTAGATATGACATTGGATATGTGTTTGGACACTTCTGCCCGAGCATCCATACTCCACCACTCAATAGCTGCTCATTCAGGCTAGTAATCTCATATGTGTTGGGACAACTGAGCTTCCAGAATGAAGAGGGCAAACTGCTGCCAGGTGAGTCCTCTTAAGCAATACAAAGTATCTGTCCACTTTTTACAAACTCTTTGGAGATAACAGCTTTTTTTTTTTTTTTTGAGACAGAGTTTCACTCTGTCTCCCAGGCTGGAATGCAATGATGTGATCTCGGCTCACTGCAATCTCTGCCTCCTGGGTTCAAGTGATTCTCCTGCCTCAGTCTCCCGAGTAGCTGGGATTATAGGTGCCTGCCACCACATCTGGCTAATTTTTGTACTTTTAGTAGAGACGGGGTTTCGCCATGTTAGCCAGGCTGGTCTCGAACTCCTGACCTCAGGTGACCCACCCGCCTCAGCCTCCCGAAGTGCTGGGATTACAGGCACGAGCCACCACACCCAGCATCTTCTGAGAAGACTTCAATAGCTATTAAAACAATTATATCAGGCCATGTGGAGGTTGCAGTGAGCTGAGATCATGCCACTGCACTCCAGCCTAGGTGACAGAGCAAGACTCCGTCTCAAAAAAAAACAAAAACAAACCAAAAAAACAGCAATTATACCAACAGTAGTCACTACCTAAGTGTTTCTTTCTTTATGTTGGAGGATGGGGTGGGGTATAGGTTAATATGGTAGATCTTATTATTTTCTCCAATTCTTCATCCATCTCTCTATTCATACCTTTTGCCATGTGGCTTCACAGTTCATATCAGTATATAAGGAGTATATATCCCCTCTTCACCCATGTGGGACTTGGTAATGTGATCTGACCATTGGAATATCAGTAAACCTAACATGAGAAGGCTTAGATTAAAATTTCATGGTTGGTCTTGTCCAACTCTGTTATTTCCATGAGAAGACAAACACTGGGTAGTCCAAGGAGGATGAGAGATACATGGAGCTGAGATAGACCCAGTCCACATTTTGGAGCCAAAGTCAGCTCAACACAGCCTAGATCAGCTGATTCCCAGGCAACCCATGGACAAGTGAGCAAGAATAAATAATTATTGTGGCAATAGAAAACTGATAGAGCTTAGGACTGGGGATTATTTAAATACATTCAGCTACAATTAACAAAGAACGCCACTTAAGATAGCTTCAACCAAATTTCAAGTAGTGTTTTAGTGTCAAGCGACTAACACCAATTCCGACAAATGGAAACAGAAAAATGACTTTATCAAAAGGATATGGGGTTGTTTGAATCTTGGTGGCGGCTGAGGTTGCTGTAAACGTAGATTTGGAGCTGTCAAATCCAGAATCACCAAAACCTATCCACACTGTCACTCTGGTAGCAATATAATTGCTTCCACCACAGGATACACACATCACAGGAGCAACACTGGTGCCACCTACACTAGACATCAAAGGCTGCTCCTAGAACCAGTGATGCTGCTTTTCTGGAAACTGAATACACACGCAGTCACTCGGATAGCAATATAACTGCTTCCACTGCAGGATACACATATCACAGGTGCAACACTGGTGCCACCTACACTAGATGTCAGATGCTGCTCCTAGAACCAGTGATGCTGCTGTTTCTGGAAACTGAATATACACACAGTCACTTTGGTAGCAATATAACTGCTTCCACCATGGGATACACATGTCACAGCTGCAACACTGGTGCCACCTACACTAGCCATCAGAGGCTGCTCCTAGAACCAGTGACACTGCTGTTTCTGGAAACTGAATACAGTAGTCAGTGGACAAAACCCCCAGAACAGAATCTGCTCAGTGCCTTCTTCTGCTTCATAATTCATGAGCTTCATAATTCATCACTAGCTTCTGTTTCGTGTGTGTTTATGTACCTGATTGGCAGAGTCTAGGTCATGTCACACCCTAGCTTCAAGGGAGGATGAGAAGGTGAGTATCTAACATTTTCAGTTTATCGGATGAGAAGTGAGCTCTGCCTTGCAAGTTGGGAAAATTTCAACACTGGAAGGAAGTTGCATGCTGGTTAGTCAAAGCAAAAGCTAAATGCCACAGCCAGAAGGGATGTTATCAGCTCAAACCACAAGGGACCTTTTCAGCTCATTGATAACTGTCAGGGTAATAGTCTGTTGCTACACAGCAGGCCTACAAACCTGGCAGTCCTAGAGCAAAAGTTCCCTCATGCACTTTTCCAGTTAACCCCCTCCAGGTAATTACTTTTTGGCTTTTTTTCCTCCTTAATATAATGTTTTTGAGATTTATCCCTATTTTGCGTGCATCAGTAGTTTGTTCTCTTTTATTAGTAAGTAGTATTCCATAATTTATTTGTCCCTTCTATTGATGAGCTTTAGGGTTGTTTTCAGTTTTTGATAATTATGAATAAAGTAATGTTGAATGTTTTTGTAAAGTTTTTATGCACAAAAGCTTTTTATAAAGTAAGTGTTGAAGAATAGAATTTCTGGTCACAGTGTAGATGTTTAACTTTTTTAAAAAACTGCTGGCCAGGTGTGGTGGCTCATGCCTGTAATCCCAGCACTTTGGGAGGCTGAGGCGGGCATATCACCTGAGGTCAGGAGTTTGAGACCAGCCTGGCCAACATGGTGAAACTCTGCCTCTACTAAAAATACAAAAAAATTAGCTGGGCATGGTGGTGCTTGCCTGTAGTCCCAGCTACATGGGAGGCTGAGATATGAGAATTGCTTGAACCCTGGAGGTGGAAGTTACAGTGAGCCAAGGTCTCATCACTGCACGCCAGCCTGGGCAACAGAACTAGACTCCATCTCAATTAAAAAATAAAAAATTAAAGGCCAGGTGTGGTGGCTCACACCTGTAATCCCAGCACTTTGGGAGGCTGAGGCAGGCAGATCACAAGGTCAGGAGATCGAGACCATCCTGGCTAACACGGTGAAACCCCGTCTCTACTAAAAATACAAAAAATTAGCTGGGCGTGGTGGCGAGCACCTGTAGTCCCAGCTACTCGGGAGGCTGAGGCAGGAGAATAGCTTGAAACTGGAAGGTGGAGGTTGCAGTGAGCCGAGATCACGCCACTGCACTCCAGCCTGGGCTATAGGCTGGGTGACAGAGCGAGACTCTGCCTCAAAAACAAACAAAAAAAATCTGCCAACAGTTTTTCAAAGAGGTTGTAACATTTTACACTCTAATAAATAATCTGTGTATTTCGATTGCCCACACATCCTCACCAACACTTGATATTGGCAGTTTAAAAAAAATCACAGCCACTCGCGATCTCGGCTCACTGCAAACTCCGCCTCCCAGGTTCAAGCGATTCTCCTGCCTCAGCCTCCTGAGTAGCTAGGATTGCAGGCACCCACCACCATGCTTGGCTAATTTTTGTATTTTTAGTAGAGACAGGGTTTCACCATGTTGGCCAGGCTGGTCTCAAACTCCTGACCTCAAGTGATTCACCCTCTTTGGCCTGCCGAAGTGCTGAGATGACAGGTGTGAGCCACTGCACCTGGTCATGTTCTGCAAATTTTAAAGACAAATTCTATCAAATTACAGAAGTCATAGTTTCTACTTTATGTAAAATATTCCTGCACATTTTACATAAAGTTGACATGTAAAATGTCAACTTTAAAGTGGAGAAGAGAAGATCTGAAATAATGAAAACTCTTAATTTAGCGAAAAAAATTGGATAGAAGTCAAGATTTTGGACACGAAAGAGGGTGACAATGGAGATATGTATATTTTCCAAATTCACCACTGTCTCTAAAGGAATTGCAAATAAAAGACTGGAAACAACCCAAAACATTGAAATTGTAAGTACTTATTCCCGTGCTGGTTGTAAATTGATAACTTTAACTCTGATATTGTTTGAAATGTGTATGTTTAATCTTTCCATCCACGGTGAAAAGGAACGTCTTCCGAGAGTGGTGGATGAGGGGACAGGAGATGTATTCTGATCTTGAAATCATGTGACAATGTTTCCAAAACATATATTGCTTGAACATATGTCTTCTAAGCAAATGTTATAAAATACTTAATTGGGGACATGAAATTTCCATTAATAAATATAGGAAGCTTCTTTCTGAACAACAGCAACAACAAAAAATCATACCCATTGTAGTGGATGTGAAGTGGTGGCTCATTATGGTTTATTTTATTTCCCTAATGACTAATGATTCTTCGTGATTTGTTTATTCATGTATTTTTGTCGTTGGGCTTTTCAAATTTTTATTGTTGATTTATAAGAGCTTTAAAATATATGTAAGCAGTAAGTCTTCACTTGCGTCATTCATAAGTTCTTGCAAACTGCAACTTTAAGTGAGACAACGTACCGTATAACAAAACTAATTTTACTATAGGCTAATTGACATAAACAAGGCAAATTCCTGTGGTATACAGTATGTTGTTTCACTTAAGTTTACAGTTTACAAGAACCTGTTGACAACATTAATGAAGACTTATTGTATTGTATTGTTAATTTTCTGTGTTGATTGTCTGATATTGTCAGTGGGGTGTTAAAGTCTCCCACTGTTATTATGTGGGAGTCTAAGTCTCTTTGAAGGTATCTAAGTACTTGCTTTATGAATCTGGGTGCTCCTGTGGTGGGTGCATATATATTTAAGATAGTTAGGTGTTCTTGTTGAATTGAACCCTTTACCATTATGTAATGCCCTTCTTTGTCTTTTTTGATCTTTGTTGGTTTCAGTCTCTTTTGTCTGAAACTAGGATTGTAACCCCAGTGTTTTTCTCTTTTCCATTTGCTTGGCTCTGTGCCTGCCAAGGCTCTGACTGCAATGGTGGTCTGGCGCGGTGGGGGGCACAGCAGAGTGCACTCCTGTTGCAACAGTGTCAGGGCAGGGTGCATACACACAGGCGTACAGGTGGGGCAAGGAAGGCAAAACCCACTCATACACGCACAAACTGGCAAAGTGATGTGGGGTTTTGCCATCGACCTGGGGGAAGCTGCAGTCTGGGAAGGGAGTGGGCAGGCTGGTGCATGGCCATGAGGGCCACCCCGCTGGAGCTCTCCACCAATCAGACATGATCCACCAGCTATGATGTGGGCCCCTGGGGTACCCAAGGCTGCCTTGCAAGCAGGTGTAGCCAGGCTGGGGCCCTAGAAGAGGCCAGCAGACCAAGGGGTCCTCGGGTTAAACCCACCCCGTCTGATAGGCAAGACCGTCCTTCAGAATTCAGGTCCAACTGTTCCACTAGGGCTAAAGTCTCCTATGGGAGCAAGTCAAGCCCAGGGAGATGAGCTTCTCTGGCCATCCTCCGCTACAGATGCTCCTGTACCAAATTGTCTTGGATCCATTTCAGCTCGTGTGCTGCCCCTACCACTTCTCTAAGCAGCTCTCCTGCCAACTTGAGTGTCCCTGATGGCCGAGGGGTCTCCTCCTGTCAGGATTCCAGAGGCCTATGGCAAAAGCAGATTGCTTTTTGCCAGTTCAACTCATGCACTCCCCTGAAGTCATTGGGCTTCATAACATGAAGCCTATTTTATAGTAAAATGTTGAATATCTCATGTAACACATATTGCTAGTTTGGGAAAAGATCAAAATTGAAAGTTTGAAATACATCAAAATTGCAATAATTTCACACCATCATAAAGTTGAAAAATCATTAGGTGTAACTAATCATTGTAATCTGGAGACTATACTTGATACTGTGTAACGGGTCATTGATGTCTCATTCTTTCCGCACCCCCAGCCCCATCAATTTTCTTCTCTCTAGTCCAGTATGTGTATCTTTGTTACTGTCTTGCCCTCAATACTACAAAATATTTCTTCTGCATTATTTAATTTTCCATAATTTCCATTTGATGAATGTGTTATTTCGATATTGTTTGTTTCACTTTTAGGGTTTCCATCTGGTTCTTTTTCAGAATTTCACACCTTTCCTGAGGTTCCCCATTCCTTCACTATTTATAACCATTTTTTCCTACTGACTTAAAAAATATGTTTGTAATTGTTTTAAAGTTCTCGTCTACTAATTCCAATATCTATGTCACTAATGGCTCTTTAATTATTAACTTTATTATAAATTTAATATGGGTCTTATTTTCCTGTTTCTTCCCATTCTAGTAATTTTTGGTTATATACCAGACAGCACAAATGATACATTATTTAAACTGTGGATTATGTAATCTTCCTCTGAAGATGATTGAGTTTTTTCCTGGCGGGCGGTTAAATCACAGGTGGATCACCTTGATCCCATGGAAACTTGGTTTTAGGTTTTGCTATAGCAAGTCTATTTTGTTTTCCCTTAGTTCTAGGGAATAGCTATTAGTCCTGGGCTTTGGTACTTACTTTCAAGACCTGGCCCTCCTGGGGTTTTAGTAAAGACCAAGGAATTTACCGAGTCTTCTAACTTGGTAAGATTTGAACTCCAAACTCAGTCTCCCCTTGTACTGAGTAGCTGCTAAAATCCTTGCTCATCTCTTCAGGTTTTCAGAGTTGCTTTCCACTGGTCTCCCTGGAGTCTTGCTATGTGCATGGATAGTTTAGGATTCAGCCAAGCATTTGAGGGAAATTTGTATTCAGGTTTTAGAGCTCACTTCTCTGTGGCTCCCTTCTTTCTGGGATTTTCTCTTCAATTTTAAGCTGCTGCTATAATAATCCCCAAAACTATTCTCAGACTCCTCAGTCCAATAAAACTGCTGTTTTCTTTCTTTTTTCTTTTCTTTTACATTTTATGAATCTTTCTTTCTTGAACTTTTAAGTTCTGGGGTACATGTGCAGGATGTGCAGGTTTGTTACATAGGTAAATAAAACAGCTGTTTTCTGCTTGAACTCTATTCCCCTGCATTTTGCACACTGGAGAGTTCCCTCATGGGAAAGCCAGTTAGATATCATATCTTACCCAGTGTGTTTCCCTTATTTCAAGGCTTGTGTCTCTTCTAGTTTCTGCTTGCTTTTGGTTGCTCATCAGTGCCTTGAAACAGTTGTTTTTAGAAAATATTTTTCCCCAAATTTAGAATTGTTATGAGCAGAGAAGTAGTTCAATACTATCTACTCAGCCATTATCAAAAGTCAGAAGTCCAATCGTACCTTACTCTTTTTTTTTTTTTTTTTTGAGACGGAGTCTCGCTCTGTCGCCCAGGCTGGAGTGCAGTGGCGCAATCTCGGCTCACTGCAAGCTCTGCCTCCGGGTTCACGCCATTCTCCTGCCTCAGCCTCCCGAGTAGCTGAGACTACAGGCGCCCGCCACCACGCCTGGCTAATTTTTTGTATTTTTAGTAGAGACAGGGTTTCATCATGTTAGCCAGGATGGTCTCGATCTCCTGACCTCATGATCCGTCCGCCTCAGCCTCCCAAAGTGCTGGGATTACAGGCGTGAGCCACCATGCCTGGCCCAATCCTACCTTACTCTTAAGACTGAGGAAAAAATTCCTCAGACATCTCCAGAAAATTCTCCTAATGGCCCATGTGCTAGACTTGGGTCACAGGGGTGGATCCCTCACGGCACGGTGCTGTCCTTGCAATAGTGAGTGAGTTCTCCTGAGATCTGGTTGTTTAAACGTGTGTGGCACTCCCCCCACCCTACTCTCTCTCTTGCTCCCACTCTGGCCATGTGATGTGTCTGCTCCCACTTCACCTTCTCCCATGAGTAAAAGCTCCCTGAGGCCTCCTCAGAAGCCAAGCAGATGCCAGCCTGTACCGCCTGCAGAACTGTGAGCCAATTCAACCTCTTTTCTTTATAAATTACCCAATTATAACAATTGGAGAACAGTCCACTATAGTAATGCATGTCAGAAGGAGATCTTACTAGCTGTGTGCTCTTGGCCAGGCCAGTTGACTTCTCTGATCCCAAGTTTCTCTTCCATCTAGTAGGGATTCTAACAGTTCAGGTGGCTTTCTGAGTAGGCCTGAAGATGCAAATGAGGCAGGAGTAAAGTTTCCTTCCCTTTCTCCAGGCCTTCTGCAATCAGCACTTGAGCCCAGAGGGCTGTTAGGTTCAGCCAGGAAATGGTAAAGAAGGACCAGGATGTTTACCTGCTGGGAGGAGGGAGGAAGTTAACAGGTGTAACTTGTTTGGGCAAACACTTCCCTATCATTCTTTCCACACCAGTAGAGTACACAACTATTCTTCTTTCAACCACTTTGCTCCTTGTTCCTTTGTTTTCAAATAACCTATGACAGTATTGCGTTTGCATTTTATTATAAGTTGGACTCCCCCACAGGACTGCCCCCCTAATAGGTAGAGGCCCATCTTATTGTCTTTGATTACCAATGCTAGGAGTTTCTGGCACTTAATAAGCAGTAGGTGTACAGGAGGGAGGTAAGCGTGAGAGGATGCTGACAGGGCTTCCTGGAGGAGGTAGTTTTGGACTACAGGCCCTGACACTGAAGAGCAGGCCTGAAATGTCTGAGTCAGGGAATGGCAATGGTACCAGAGAGGGTGAGGAGTTTCATCCCATTTGGCAGTTCAGCCTACAACAGTTCCTGGAGACCAAAACTGCTCGCCTGGACATGTCAGAGGCAAATCTAGGGGAGGATCTAATGCTAGTAGGGTGTTTTTTATGGTGAGTGATGTACATATCAGTGTGAGAAAGGAAGTCTGGGGCTAGCTGGCTTCTCGATAAGTAAATCGCTGCCCTGAATCGTTTTATGTCTTTCTTATGCTGTCACAAGAAAGGCAGAACATAGTCTTAGAGCCTGTCAGACAGGGAGAAACACTGGTAGGCAGAGAGAGAACTTTTGCTTTTGCATTTATTTCAGTAATTCAGTATCTCAGTATTAAGAGGGTGCTTAGCAAATATTTGTAAAATTTGTAAATTCACAAATGCCTCTTCCAAGTTTCTGTAAGTTTTGCAACCTTTCTTCCTTCCTTGGGAAAGAAGACTCAATTCTGGGTCTCCTATGGGGGCCTCCTGACCCCATACCCTCTTGTCTTCACAGGACATTCATAGCTAGAATTTTAACTAAAAAGGCAACCAAAATGACAAGTTCTGTTTGACTTTCAAACTAACAAAGATACAGAGGTTAAAAGGTAGAATCCGTTGTGGGAGGAGTCCTACACACAGTGAGTATAGGCTCATTTCCAGGCAATTATTGTTTGAAACTCAATTGTTTGAAAGAAGAAATCTAACTTAATCAATCTACAAGCAAGCAGATTAATTTTCCTTCTTCCCTACTAAAGTAAACATCTCTTCCTGTAGTACAAACAGCACCCTTGAAACCACCTTTGCGATATTATGACTGAGACAGTGAAAGAGATTTAACTTAACTGACTCCATCTTGCTTCTAACCTCCAAGCTGTCCTTGTTCATTCCTGGGCATAGGCTGAACTAACTTTGGGAGAAACTTAATTTATAGTTTAAACAAAGGCAGTCACAGCCCTTCCCCAAAGCACTTTCCCAAAAGACCTCCTTCCAGAGCCAGGGGACTGCTCTAGATTGCCTTCGTAGGATGAACATTAGCCACAAGATTAGAAATTATAGTTTAGGAGGCTACAAGATTCTGACTTTCCCTAAATTGCTTCTAAGATCAGTGCTTGAGATATTTTGCAGACTCTGAATTTGATGGACCAGCTGGCCCCACCCAGATCAATAAGCTGGCTCATCTGATCTTGTGGCCCCCACTCAGGAACTGAGTGAGCACAAGAAGACAGCTCCAACTCCCTGTGATTTCATCTCTGACCAGTCAGCACTCCTGGCTCACTGGCTTCCCCACACCCACCAAGTTATCCTTAAAAGCTCTGCTCCCTGAATGCTCAGGGAGACTGATGTGAGAAATAATAAAACTCTGGTCTCCCGCACAGCCAGTTCTGCGTGAATCACTCTTTCTCTATTGCAATTCCCCTGTCTTCATGAATTGGCTCTGTCTAGGCAGGGGGCAAAGTGAACCCTCTGGGTGGTTACACCCTTGGGCTGCAGGATATTTTCCCTATGAAGAAATGTGAGAAAAAAATAATTTTGAAGGATTGTTGTATCTAGACACTTTGTTGGTTGGTGCCTCAAAAGCTTTAGTCACTCCTGTTGAATACAGAGGAAAATAGGGCATCCCTTCCTTCCCAAACACCTACTGCTTACTAAGCCAGGAAATAAGAAGACATGATCTGTTTTCACCTCTATTGTCTAACGAAGGTCACTATGTCTGATGGGAACTAAAGCAAATCATTCTGACAGTTACACTTGGGGAAATTCAGGCTAATATTTTTTGTTTTTCCCTTGACTTATTTGGATTGCTGTTTTTTTTCCTGTGGGTATGGTAGGCATTTTATTGTTTCCCAGAGGTTTCTTCCTCTTTTTGTTTTTTTTTTTTTTCCTTTTCTGCACACTATCTGGATATTTCTTGCCAAGTAGCTCTACTGGAGTCAGTTTCTCTGTCATCAGGTCAGTCTCTGCTACTTGCCTACTAGAATCATTTAGCAAGAGATGATGCAAATAACTTACATGGAAAAATGGGAGGGGAAATGACCAGAAAATAATGACTATGCATTGAAAATTCTTTATTTTCAAAAATGAATTTAACTAACAGATCCTAACAGTTCTCTACTTAGAAGAAATTCAACAACTTTAGCTTTTGTTTCTCAAAGACTTCAGATGTATGAAGTCAGGTTAACAGCACCTAAATCATGTCCAATATCTGCATGACTGGCAGTCAATCTGTGTTTTTTTATAGTAGGGTCTTATAGCTGGTGAAGAAGTTAACACAGTGTTTTACAGCTTAGAAGAGAATGGCCTGTTTGATGCCTTAACTATTAGTCTAGGCTGGTAACCAGGTTCCTCCCTGGGTTAGTGACCTATTGAGCCATCAATTCTTGGAAGGCGTATGGGGTAGTGATAAAATTCACGGGCTTTGGATCAAGAGGGGCTGGATTTGATTCTGGTCTCTGTGATTATTTTCTCTGTGACTTCTTTCTGCTACCGTTTTCTTATCTGTGAAGTGGGAATAATACTAATATTTATGTTATAGAGTTGTATGGGCGAGGCATGGTGGCTCATACCTGTAATCCCAGCACTTTGGGAAGCCGAGGCAGGCAGATCACGAGGTCAGGAGTTCGAGACCAGCCTGGCCAATATGGTGAAACCCTGTCTCTACTAAAAATACAAAAATTAGCTGGGCATGGTGGCGCATGCCTGTAGCCCCCGTTGACTTGGGAGGCTGAGGCAGAAGAATTGCTTGAACCCAGGAGGCAGAGGTTGCAGTGAGCCAAGATTGTGCCACTACTCTCCAGCCTAGGTGACAGAGCCAAACTCCGTCTCAAAAAAAAAAAAAAAGAGTTATATGGAGGTTCAGTAAGACAATGCAAGAAACTGGGTTAACACAATACCTGACACTAACGAGGGCTCAGCACTAGTTAGCTGCTTTTAGTAGTGCCAACTTACCCATTAGGCACAGTAGGCAAAGTGCCTGAGGCCCATGAAACTTTATGAGTTGATAAAAAATGTTTTAATTTTAATTTTTTAAAAAATCAGATAAAAAATGAATAATGAGTGTATAATAAGTAATCCAACCTGGGTTATATTTGTTTTTTTACCAATGCAGTCATAAAATATAATTGTTAACATATTTTATGGAAGAAGGGACTCAGACAAAAGGGCCTGGGGCCCATGAAACTCATAATTGTGGATCTCACTGTTAGCAGTCATGACTGTGGTAGTATTAATCGCAGAATCCTCAACAATAATAGTAGAGTGAAAAAACAAAATGTCAAGATTGTAACTGAGCTATTTACTGATCTAGTTGTAGTTAATCTCTTGATAAAAGAAGTTGGAGTAGGTTTGTGTAATAGTTGAGTATGATGTTTATTACTTTTCAGCCATCCCTTTAATAATAGATGAATGAGTACCTTTAAAAAGAACCATGTTGTTTTTCAATACTACTGGACTATAACGAACATATCATCAATGCAGAAAATACAGTAATTGTAAAATCAAATAGTTTTAGGTTTAGCAGTGAAATAGCTCTAGGTATCGTTAATTTTTTTTTTTCTTTTGGCAGTATCAACATTGTGTTGATACTGAAGAATGCATTTTCTGGAAAGACAGGGATAATCAATTTTCTCCCAGATTCAATGGGAGAAAATCATACTCAATATGAACTGTATATTGAGAAGTTAAACATGCCAAGTTTTTACCATATTTTGTTTTCACTAATACATATGTAAATCTTAATTTATTTTTAAAAGACACAAAATGCCTATATTTTATCCACATTATTCTTAGAATTGATCATGTCCGCTTTAACAAATTTCTATTTTAATAAAAATTGGATTTCATAAAACTACACATTTTATAAAACAAAAATAATTCTTGCTAAACCAGCAATAAAGAAACATATTTGTTTAGAAAGTATATTTCCAACTGAACGAATTAGCTTGTCTCTCCATTGACCAAAGACAGGGTTAGAGGTGTTGTTAAGATCCTTTCTTTTTTTGTTTTTTTTTTTTTTGAGATGGAGTTTTGCTCTTGTCCCCCAGGCTGGAGTGCAATGGCACGATCTCGGCTCACTGCAACCTCTGCCTCCCAGGTTCAAGCAATTCTCCTGCCTCAGCCTCCCGAGTAGCTGGGATTACAGGCACACGCCACCATACCCAGCTTGTTTTTGTATTTTTAGTAGAGACAAGTTTCACCGTGTAGGCCAGGCTGGTCTCGAACTTCTGACCTCAAGTAACCCGCCCGCCTCAGCCTTCCAAAGTGCTGGGATTACATGTGTGAGCCACTGTGCCTGGCCAGGATCCTTTCTAAACTTGTTGAATTTTGGCCAAGTGTGGTGACTCACTCCTCTAATTCCAGCACTTTGCGAGGCAGAGGCGGGCGGATCACCTGAGGTCACGAATTCCAGACCAGCCTGGCCAACATGGTGAAATCCTGTCTCTACTAAAAATACAAAAATTAGCTGGATGTGGTGGTGCACACATGTAATCCCAGCTACTTGGAGGGCTGAAGCAGGAGGATCACTTGAACCGGGGAGGCAGGGGTTGCAGTGAGCTAAGATCACGCCACTACACTTCAGCCTGGGCAACAGAGCGAGACTCTGTCTCAAAAAAATAAAAATAAAAATAAATAAACTTACTGAGTTTAATTTTAGAGCTTGGCTAAATGACAAAGGAAGAGGATAAAGGAAAGGAACAAAGAAAGACCAGGCCATAGCTTTAATCTCTGTGATCAGACAGCAGTGTTGTGGCAGGGTGTTGGAGAGGGGAGGAACTTGGTATTAATAATATTTGTAATCTGCAATTTTCCCCCAAAATGTCTTTGGTTGATTATTTCATTTAAGGTAACATTTTGACTTCAAAATAGTTTACATCAACAGTATTTGTCAGTCTAGATTTAATCAACAGTTTTAAATAATTGGCTGGATTCTCAACCTTGGATCTTTTCCTAGAAAAATGTTTCCTTCCACATAGTGAACCTGATTTTGAAAAAAAGATATGGGAGATTATTTCTCCAGATAAGAGAGTCTTCTGGGAATCAAGTGTTTTTCCATAATATTATGTGAAATAACTAGGTAAGACATCTGAGTAGAATATAAGGAGTGAGAGTTACAGAATATAAGAAGGCAGAGTTCCTTGCTGGGCTAGAACTGTGCTGACAGCTCTCTGGTATAATTTATTAGCTCCTTTTAGTAACAAACAAATTATCACTGGAAGCATACCTGTGTGCTACATATTATAAATAACTAATACTTTTGAATGCTCACTAAGTGCCAGGCACTCTTCTAAGCCTTGTATGAGTATTATAACTTTTTATGTGACAGCAACCCCATGAGGTCACATTACCCTCATTTTTATTGGTGAAAAAAAGTAATGTAATTGTCCTATGACATTAAACTACAAATTGGTGGCCTGAGAGTTTCAAGCAGTGTGACCCCAGAACCCATAATACTCGAGGTGGGTCCATGGTCCAGCAGTCTCTGCTGCACCTGGGAGCCTGTTATAAATGCAGGTTCTCAGGGCCCACAGATCTCCTGGGTCAGCATCTGCATTTTGTTTTATGTATTTATGTATTTATTATTATTATTATTATTATTATTTTGAGACTGAGTCTCGCTCTGTCACCCAGGCTGAAGTGCAGTGGTGCGATCTCAGCTCATTGCAATCTCCGCCTCCTGGGTTCAAGCGATTCTCCTGCCTCAGCCTCCCGAGTAGCCGGGACTACACCTGAGTGCCACCACGCCAGGCTAATTTTTGTATTTTTTAGTACAGACAGGGTTTCACCATGTTGGCCAGGCTGGTCTCGAATTCCTGACCTCAGGTGGTCTGACTGCCTCGGCCTCCCAAAGTGCTGAGATTACAGGCATGAGCCACTGCCTCTGATCAGCATTTGTATTTTAATAAGATTTCAGGGGATTCACCTGCACAGTAAAGGTTGAGAAGCTCTGGTGCACTCTCTCCCTTTCTGACTGCATGAACCTGGGCAAGGCATTTAACTTCTCTAAACCTCAGGTTCTTGTCTCTGTAAAACAGGGATAATAATGCAGACTTAGAGATTTGTTGTGATGATAACATGAAACTACGTTGTGAAGAATGCGGTACTTAGAGACTACTTGATGGCTGCCCAATGTAATGGTGCTTACACATCACCCAGACTTCAAAAATATTCAATGATAGTATCCAGAGAACTTGAAAACATTCCTACCCCAAAGACACTTTCCACTGCTGAACAGTTGAGTGACTTAATGTTTGCAGAGACTCTTTCTTTTTTAACGTTTGAATATTCAGTAGCAACTTCTGGCTCCAAGTTTAATGCCTTTCTACTATATTGAGTTTCTTATTTTGTTCCTTTTAAAATTGCTTTTTTCCCCCATAGTATTTTGTTTATTACTGAAGGAAAAAAAATCAGCAGGAAGTTCAATGTGGCTTCAATAAGGCCAGGTACTTAGCTTTTAACATTCCTACCACACTCCAAAAGTCATTACTACAAATTACCGGTTGAATCTATCCTGAGGAAAAACAAAACTAGAAAAAATAATTTAAACATTCTTCCAAACCACACATTTATGAGTATTACCATATTTCAGATGCTTGAAAGGCATTAATTCTCCATTAAGGGAAAAGCATTTTGCTATTGGCAACATTAAAAACTCAGCTTTAAAATTTGAAAGCTCTACTGTTTTGGATTCACAGTTGAGCAGTATTTTTGTCCTTATAATAACAACTGCAAAGTGCTTTATACTCACCTTCTTTCAAGTAAATCTACAGAAAATCCGATTGTTTCCAACGTTTGTAATGCAAAATTATTTTTGTACTTATAAAATACATCATGCCTATAGAAGATAATATAAAACATATATATGTATAATAAAGTGATAATTATAAAGCCATGAAACTAACACCTAGGTTGTAATTAGAACCTTGGTATATTACAAGACCTTGGTGTAGTACAAGGTCTATTACCTTTGTCCAGTCACTTGGACACTCCCTGTGTGCCCATTGCCCCCAGAGTGAATTGCTATCTTGACTTTTATTGTGATATTTAATTTCTTGCTTTTTAAAAAATAGTTTTACCAACTGAATTCTGTGTAAATAGAATCATATGATAAATATTCTTTTATGACTTGCTTCTTTCACTCAATTTTATTATTCATACAATTCATTCATGTTGATGTATAACGCTGTAGTTTGTTATAATTTTCACTGCTCTTCTATACTCCATTGTAGAAGTATTCCACCATTAATCCACTCAACTGTTAATGGGCTTTTAGGAAGTTTCTCAATTTTTGAATAGTCGGTATTGTCGTGAACATTCTTATATATGTCTCCTGATGCACATAAACATTTACCTGGGTTGTAGATTTTGTTCATGTCATTTTACTGGGAAAAGTTTCCACAAGCTAGCACCAATTTGTCATCTTTCCAGCAGTAAAAGAGTTCTTGTGGCACTGCATACTCATTTGGTATTGTAGGAGTGTTTTGCCAGCTGGTAGTGTATAAGAGGATGTCACTGTGGCTTTAATTTGCATTTCCTCATAATGGGGCTTTAATTTGCATTTCCTTATAATATTCAACCTAATTATATTTTTAATATGTAATTGTTTCTTGATATGTAATTATTTAATTAGGGTTCCATCTTCCTGGCAGTAACTGTTCAAAAAATTTTTTTAATGCTTTTTTCTATCATATTGTTTTGCTGTTACCAAATGTGGGAATTCTTTTTTTGTTGTTGTCGTTTGTTTTTTTGAGACAGAGTCTTGCTCTGTTGCCCAGGCTGGAGTGCAGTGGCGTGATCTCAGCTCACTGGAACCTCTGCCTCCCAGGTTCAAGCAATTCTCCTGCCTCAGCCTCCTGAGTAGCTGGGATTATAGGCACACGCCTGGCCAATTTGTGGAAATTCTTCAGGTAGTCTAGATACTTGTCCTTTGCTGCTTATGTGTGTTGCAAATAATCGAGTGCTTTGTGGATTTTCTTTGCACTCATTTAGTGGTTTGTTTTAATAAGCAGAAATTGTTAATTTTAATATAATAAAATGTATTAGCTGGGAGCGGTGGCTCATGCCTGTAATCCCAGCACTTTGGGAGGCCAAGGTGGGCAGATCACGAGGTCAGGAGATCGAGACCATCCTGGCTAACACGGTGAAACCCCGTCTCTACTAAAAATACAAAAAATTAGCCGGGCGTGGTGGCGGGCACCTGTAGTCCCAGCTACTTGGGAGGCTGAGGCAGGAGAATGGTGTGAACCCAGGAGGTGGAGCTTGCAGTGAGCTGAGATCGCACCACTGCACTCCAGCCTGGGCAACAGAGCGAGACTCCAACTCAAAAATAAATAAATAAATAAATAAATAAATAAATAAATAAATAAATAAAAACAAAAAGCCTTCTTGCCACCTTCTTCAAGAAAATCTTGGCTATTCTTGTCCTTTTGCTTTCTTACCTTCAAAATTAAGAGTTGTTACTACGTAAGTCTGTGGTTCTCTCCAGCTCTGAAAGGTTTATTCTATTCTATAGCAGAGCATGTTGTATAATCACGTGGTTGCTTTTCTTGATGATTCCATTGGGTCTAACAATTATTTTACCAAATTATATTAATACTTGGAAATAATTCTTCGTGGTTCTAGGGTTATTACATTAATACTTTTCTCTCTTTTTAGGATTTTTTGCTTTTAGCCTTTACCACCATTTTAGGGTAATGGCATTGTTGCTATATGAGTATTTTGTTTTTGGTATTTATTTATTTATTTATTTTGAGATGGAGTTTTGATTTTTTTGCCCAGGCTGGAGTGCAATGGTGTGATATCGGCTCACTGCAACCTCTGCCTCCTGGGCAGTTCTCCTGCCTCAGCCTCCCAAGTAGCTGGGACCTCAGGCACATGCCACCAAGCCTGGTTAATTTTGTAATTTTAGTGGAGACGGTGTTTCACCATATTACTCAGGCTGGTCTCAAACTCCTGACCTCAGGTAATGCACCCACCTCGGCCTCCCAAAGTGCTGGGATTACAGGCATGAGCCATCATGCCTGGCCGATATAGAAATATTTTTAAAGTATTACATGTGCCCAGCAGTTGTCTGGGGTTTAAAGGAGATGGAAAGAAGCATAAGCCAATGTTTATGATCTGGAAGAACACGTTTGAGCTGGGGAGACATAACAATGAGTCAGTTCTACCTCTGGCTACCTGTGGATTTAGTAGGCTAATTGCCAGGACTTCGGTTTTGTTTTGTTTTCATATTTAAAAATGAAGGGCTTATATGAGATTAGTGCAAGGTCCCTTTAGTTCTAATATTTTTTGCATTGCTGACTTAGTCTGTTGGGGTTTCTACAACAAAATATCTTAAACTGGGTGGTTTATAAACCACAGAAATTTACTTCTCACAGTTCCAGGGCCTGGAAAGTTTAAGATCAAGGCAGACTTGGTGTCTGTGAGGGCTAGCTTTCCTGGTTCAAAGACAGCATCTTCTTGCTGTGTCTTTGCATGGTGGAAGAGGTGAAAAGAGGTGACAAGAGGTGAATGAGCTCCCTTGGGCCTATTTTAGAAGGGCACTAATCCCATTCACAGGAGCTTGGCCATCATGATCCAGTCACCCTCCAAAAGATCCCACCTCTTACTACCATCAGCTGGGAGGTTGGGACTTCAATGTAGGAACTGAGGGGTCAGGGTAGGGCAGACCATAGCAAATGGCCACACAACAGGTCTTTCTAGTCCCTGACCATGAGAAGGCAGTCAAAACACAGAGAATCTACAAGGTGATTTATTCATGTCATAGTAACAAAGGAAGAAAAAACTTGGAAGGAAAGATTTTTTTTTTTAAAGAAATATTTTGATGGGTGAAAGAGGAAGTCCCAAAACATAGCTGCAAAGAGGAAATATAAGTTTGTGTTTCATTTTTCTCCTGTTGAAATCAGTTTCTATTGTGAAGTTTCATTTTCCTATTTCTTTTTTAGGTAGTAGAACCTGGACTCTTGCCATAGTAATCTGTTTTCTATTTTGTATAACATCTGAATGTTAGATTTGGTTACAAAATAACTGTGTGAAAATAATGAGAGACCAGTGATCTTTGGGAACTTTTTTTTTTTTTTTTTTTTTTTTTTAGGACGGAGTCTCTCTCTCTTGCCCAGGTTGGAGTGCAGTGGCCTGATCTTGGCTCACTGCAACCTCCACTTCCTGGGTACAAGTGATTCTCCTGCCTCAGCCTCCTGAGTAGCTGGGATTATAGGTGCCTGCCATCACACCCGGCTAATTTTTCTATTTTTAGTAGAGACGAGGTTTCTCCATGTTTGCCAGGCTGGTCTTGAACTCCTGACCTCAGGTGGTCTGCCTGCCCCGGCCTCCCAAAGTGCTGGGATTACAGGCATGAGCCACTGCTCCCGGCCCTTGCACATTTTGACTCTCAGTGAAGAGTAATGAAAGGGAACTTGTTTCCAGAGGTGAAGGCTACAGGCCAAATGTTGCCTTGCCCTAAAGAGGTGATATAACTTTCCTAGGATCACTTGACTAGTTAGAGATAAAACTATGACTAGAATTCTGGTTTCCAGACTCTGAATTGGCTATTCTCCCATACAGAAGTGTATAGATGTAGCATTTGAGGGAAGGCTCTGTGGGAGAGGAGATCTACTCTCTCCTAAATGATGAAATGATTTTATTTATGTATTTATTTATTTATTTATTATTTATTTAGAGACAGAGTCTGTCACCAGGCTAGAGTGCAGTGGCGCAATCTCAGCTCACTGCAACCTCTGCTTCCTAGGTTCAAGGAATTCTCCTGCCTCAGCCTCCCGAGTAGCTGGGATTACAGGCATGTGCCACCATGCCCAGCTAATTTTTTGTATTTTTAGTAGAGACAGGGTTTCATCATGTCAGCCAGGATGATCTCCATCTCCTGACCTTGTGATCCGCCCACCTCGGTCTTCCAAAGTGCTGGGATTACAGACGTGAGCCACCGCACCCTGCTGATTAAATGATTTTAAAGTGATGATTCCAAATGCAGATAGCATTATCCTAGGATTGGGAAGAGGAAGAACTTGCCTTTCAGGATGCCATAGAAGTAAATATGCAAAGGTACAACACGCAAAAGCATTGTCTTAAGACTGTCTGGACTTCAAGGCTAATAAATATTTTCAGGAGATAGACCGTATGCCCGTATGTCAAAAAATATGCTTGATTTATATTAATACCTGTTATAGACTAAATTGTGTTTCTCCTCAATTCATATGTTGAAGCCCTAACCCCCAGTATCTCAGAATGTGACTGTATTTGGAGATAGGGTCTTTAAAGAGGTAATTAAGGTCAGATAAAGTCATAAGGATGGGCCCTAATCCAATATGACTAGCATTCTTATAAGAAGAGGAAGAGACACCAAGGGCATGTACAGAAAATAGGCCATGGGAGGACAGAGCAAGAAGCCGGCCGTCTGCAAGCTAGGAAGAGAGGCCTCACCAGAAACCAACCCTGCCAGCACCTTGATCTTGGACTTCTAGCCTTCAGAACTGTGAGAAAATACATTTTTATTATTGAAGTCTGTCATGGCAGTCTGTTAGGGCAGCCCTAGCAAACTAATACAATACCTCTTGAATCTCTTTTTCTGAAAATGCCTCATTATTTTTCTGGATGTTTTATTGTCTACACTCAATAAAAATATTCTGTCTGAAGGCTCTTGTGCCTACTGAGCAAAGCACGATTTCCTTAACCTGAGCACTTTTGGCTCCAGCTTCTGGCTTTCCTGAGATTGACCCCTCAACCAAACTCTTCCTTCGAGAGCAGAGCCTCTTACCCTTTGCCCCTCCGTGCCCCACTAGGATTCCTCTCAGGAGTGCAGTGAATACAGAAAAAGTGGGGTAACCCAGACTGTATCCTCTCTGAGATACAGGAGGATAATTATTTTCAAGTTTTGACACATAACCTGTTATTAACTAAACAAACGTCAAGAGTATTTTGGCTAGAACATCATGCAGTCAAGGTAAAAAGTAGATGTTGATTTGGAAAATATGAGCAAGGCACATACTTATTTTCTTAGAATTAAATTAATGATTCTTCTTTTTTTCTTCCTTTCTTTTTTAATGCAGAGAGCTCTGGATTATCATTAGGGGCATTTGCCCGAAGTTATCTTGTTTAAATGTTTACACAGCTCAACTGCTTCAGATAATATTTATGATGAGTAAGCATGGTCTAATTTCACTAAATCAGCAGTTTATAAAATGCATCTCTGGGTTTTTCTGTGTGTATTTGTGTGTGTGTGTGTGTGTGTGTGTGTGTGTGTAAAGAAAAAGGGTTCTCCAGGAGGCAGAGGTTGCAGTGAGCTTAGATCATGTCACTGCATTCCAGCCTGGGCAACAGAGCCAGACTCCGTTTCAAAAAAAAAAGGATTCTGTGGTGAAGAAAATTAAGCAGTTCTTTGCCTCTTCACTCAACCCAAGGCACTTATTTTTATTTATTTACTTTTCTTGTTTTTGAGACAGAGTTTCGCTCTTGTTGCCCAGGCTGGAGTGCAATGGCGCAACCTCAGCTCACTGCAACCTCTGCCTCCGGGTTCAAGCTATTCTCCTGCCTCAGCCTCCCAAGTAGCTGAGATTACAGGCATGTGCCACCATGCCTGGCTAAGTTTGTATTTTTAGTAGAGACCGGGTTTCTTTATGTTGGTCAGGCTGGTCTCAAACTCCCGACCTTAGGTGATTCGCTCGCCTCAGCCTCCCAAAGTGCTGGGATTACAGGCGTGAGCCACTGCGCCCGGCCTTCTTGTTACGTTTTATGGCATACATTATGTGCCTGGCACTGTGCTAAGTGCTTTTTATGCATTCTATCATTTAATTCTCGCATTATGATGGTGAGGTATGTGCTAATCTATTTTATGTATCGGAAACTTAGAAACAGGAAAGTTAAATGATGGTCCTAATTAATGGCTTACGGTTGAGCTAGGATTTGAACACAGGTCTCCCAGAGGCATTTAACCACTAGCAGCGCTGCCTCACAGTCTTTAATGGCTAATATGCATGTGAATTTTCAAGAATAAGATGTTTAATTCAGCATTTCTCAAACCATTTAACACAATTTTACTTTTTTTTTTTCTGAGTCCTAGATTATTTTGAGACACTTGCTTTTCACAAATCGCACCCTGGGAATCCTTAGAAACGGCACAAAAATGGCCCAAATATATCAGTTTTAATTGGTGAAAAGGATCTTTTTACAGGAGTACAATTAAAATGCCGCCAGAGACATCGAACTCCTTGAAATTAAGATGAAAATATTTTTATATAAAATATTTAATAGTGACTGTTTGGGATCCCCTAGAAGCAGACTCTGAGATGGGGATTCCTGTGCAAGTGATTTATTGAGGGGGTCGCTCTAAGGAGCAGGGAGAAAGCTAAGCAAGGATGAGGCCTCAGCTGGAGCCTAGCTTCAGCCCCATCCCCTGGGCAGCTCTGGAGCATGAATTGCACCTTATTGTTTATTGCACACTGGGGCTGGCTCTTGCACTACTAGGTTAGTCAGTCATTCCTGCTCCTGTGGGTGGCAAGGTTGGGGGTGGAGGGAGGGCATAAATTCTTGAGGTAGTTCTTGCTGCTCAAAGACAGTTCTCTGGAGAAGGAGCAGCCACACAACAGCTGGGTCATGACTCAGACCTGCTCAGTAGGCGGTATCTGTGTGAGGCATCAGTAGCACCCACTGTATCCTCCTCGTGTACTGGTCAGATCTACTTGCTTCTTACACTAAGTTCTCTCTATCTAGGCATATATTCTTCAGGGTTCCTGTTAGGCCCAGTTTCTGGGGACGTTTATAAGAAAAGATTTGGCGGGATGAATTATAGTCCCTGCCGCTGAAGTTGGTCCTGGGGTGGGAACTGATGCTCAATCCTCCTCCTCCTCCCCCACCTCTTCATTTTCCTCCTCTTCTTCCACTTGTTTTAGATTACTATGTGTATTTATACTGGTCTACTTAACTTGCCTAGTTCAGTCACCCAGGCCTTCATCTGTGAAGTGGTCTGAGCCGCTGGTTACCATGACCTAAACAGGCTGTGGTTGCTGTGTTTGCCCATCTACAGCTAAAACTGAGTATGGGAGTGCTAATAGATGCCCCAGTGGATCACCTGAGAGCCTAATATTTTCCTCTCTACCCCATTACATAGTATCAGATCTACCTTCTCATGATCATCAGATGCAGTTAGTCCTAATAGTATGCTGACTCTTTTTTGTGCCTGT
The DNA here is from genome assembly GCF_000001405.40 of Homo sapiens. Classification (NCBI taxonomy): domain Eukaryota; kingdom Metazoa; phylum Chordata; class Mammalia; order Primates; family Hominidae; genus Homo; species Homo sapiens. Next base: position 172,551,312 of record NC_000003.12, read on the forward strand.
TGGTGTATTGGCACAAGCAACCTAAAATCACCAGGGGACAGCTCTAGCTTTAAATATAATGATGTTTTACTGTGTGCACAGTATAATTGACAACCTTTTGGGAACCAGAATATTCAGATCCACAGAGACTAAAGTTGCAGGGATAGGAAGTATAAATGCCCCAAAGGGTCATTGAAAGTGATGTTAAGTGGGGCTTCTCCTACCTCTGCCTGTTGTTTCCCGGACTCTGTACTCTACCTATTGAGTTCAGCATCATACACTGGCCATTGGTTTGAGGCAGTACTGCACCTTGAAGTCTAGTGCCCATCATCATGTGGTGTTACCTCCAAGCTGGTGCCACAGCTGCAACTTCACTTTCACTCTGGTAGTGGTCAGCATCTTGCGGATGGTGCAGTATGTGATAGGGTTGGTGGATCTCACTGCCATGTTTCCACCAATTCATCTCCTGGGCCATAGCAAGGGTCCCTTGGTCTGAGGCAATATTATATGTGATCCCAGTTTGGTAGATGAGCCTTTGGGTGGTGGGCTGACTGAGATACTATAGGCAAGAAAGGCAAATCATTACCCAGTCAGGAAGAAACATTGCCCTTTCTAAAGTTGAAGGGATCTGATCTAATCAAATTGTGACCAAGTGGCTGGTGGGCCTGTTTGAGGAATGGTGCCATGCCAAGGGCTCAGCATTCATCTCTGTGCTGACAGGCTGGACATTCAGCAGCAGTGGGCTTTGACAAAAGAGAGCCCATGCAACTGAGCACATGCATAGCCTCCCTCTCTGTCACCATGGCTACTCCATTCTGAGCCCATTGCACAAGCACTGGGGTGGCTGAGGCCACTGCTGGTGGACATTTGCAGGCTGAGCCCTCCTATCCACATGCTTATTTAGTGCCCCTTCTGTGAGGGGTGCTCTCTGGGGGTGGGGAGGTATTAACACATGACAGAAAAATCCTCATCCTCCCTCGGATCCATCCACATGCGTCTTCTCTGGACCTCTTTAATCTTGACTTTACAATCTTGCTTCTTCCAGGTTCCCTGTAACCAGCTAAGCCACTTGATATTCCCAGGCAGTCAGTGCATATCCTTAATTCACACCACCTTTGTTTTCACACAAAGTTCATGATCACGTGCAGTACTGGAGCTCTGCCCATCGGGAGGATGTTCTCTCTCCAGTATCTTTCTAATACTCTGATGATCCAGACACCACACCTTGGCCTGTGTTTTTAAAATTGTGTTAAATCAGACAATATTATTTTACAAAAGTAAAGCTATGGTCTTTGTTTCATCATCAACACTGTTCATAATGAATATTTGACATTTTGGTTGCCCACCATCCAAACACCCTTCTTAATTGAGGGGATTTCCAACATTAGTGAGAGGTCAGTCTTAACTCCTGCTACAGAAGCCAAGAAAGATGGATATTACATTGCCTCTGCCCCTAACAGCTAGAGTGGCTGAGCAGATGCCCCTACCAGTTCTGGACTCTTAAGATAGACTCAGTCAGCTATCAGTCACTGTAGCTGCAACCACAGAAGCAAGATCTCCTTGCTCAGAGCTGGAAGAGTTCTTCAGTACAGCAACAGTGAGAACAGAGTTGGCTGGCAGTAGGTAAGCATGGTGACAGCAGTAATGATGATGTCCTGCTAGGCCATTCCTGTGACAAGGGCTCAGTTCTTGTATTTGTTAGTCAGTTCTTGCATTGCTACAAAGAAATACCTGAAGCTGGGTAATTTATAAAGAAAAGAGGTTTAATTGGCTCATGGTTCTGCACTCTGCTCATGAAACAGAGTGCCAGAATCCACCTCTAGTGAGGGCCTCAGGAAGCTTACAATCATGGCGGAAGGTGAAGAGGACACCAGCAAATCACAGGGCGAGAGCAGGAGCAAGAGAGAGAAGGGGGATGTGCCACGTTCTTTTAAACAACCAGATCTCACCTGAACTCAGAGCAAGAACTCACTCATCGCTAAGGGGAAGGTGCTAAGCCATTCATGAGGGATCCACCCCCATGATTCCATCCCTCCCTCCAGGCCCCACCTCCAGCACTAGGGTTATGTTTCAGCATGAGATTTGAAGGAGACAAACGTCCAAACCATATCAGCCCTCCTGGGCCTCCATTGCATCCTGCTGAGTCCGGATCTCTGGTTTTCTTTCCAATTCTGTCAGCAGCCCAAGGCTCTTGCAATAATTCCTTCTCTTATTAAGTTATCTGGAGTCAGTTTCCACTTTTGCAACCCAGAACTCAGGCTAATATATACCCTTTTGTTAGCATTAATCAAACATGTGGCATGGTACATAGTGCAAGGTAACAGACGCAGAAAGATATAAACCATGGCCCCTAGAAAGACCAATACCAGGCTAATAGAGAGTAAGCCGAGCGTCAAACGAATCCATGTGACAAGCATTCACATAACCTGAGCGGTTAGGTAAGGGCCCCACTGAGAAAGAGAGAGGGACTTGAACTATGTCCCAGGTAGCTGATTTCCACAGTTACAGAGGTTACTAAACAACCCTGGCACCTTATTTACCTCCATTATCTTTTGTTTGTGAGCTCCATGGACCAAGTCCATCTAGGGTGAACTACTAGATCTCATTCTGTCAGTCTCCTGCCTTTCTTTCTCCTGCTATGAAACAGTTTGAAAAAGAGAAATAATCGTATCTGTACAGGCATTCAGCAGTCCAGTCAAAATGTTCTTGTTTTCTTCTTTTCCAGAATAATATTTTCTTTATCAGACAGGACAATTTACTTCCAAAACATTATGAAATCCATTTTTCCTTCTTTTTTCCTCCTCATTCTTTCCCTCTGTCTCTGTCATTCTTCCTTCCTTCTTTCCTCCCTCCTTTCATTCTTCTTTTTTTCCTTTCACAACAACTCTCATTTTATAAAAGTTAATATGTCTTCATTTTAGGGGAATCAGAACAGGCAGAAAAATGTAAAACCAAAAGCAATAATTATCAACAATCACACTGCCCACGGATTTTTTTGTATTTGGATTTTTTTGGTATATTTCCTTTAAGACTTTTTTCTATTTATTCGATTCTGTATTAATAAACTTGTGATTAGGAATTGATAATGTGAGAAAATATTTATGTGTATACAATATATGTATTATATATATGTATTATATATCCTGCTTTACCTACAATTTAACCTAAATGAAATTTAACAATTTCATTTTCCATTTTATAAAAGAAAACTCATTAGAGACAGCGTTTTTATGACCACATCATATTCTATCATACAATATGACTTTTTAATCCATTCCTGTAACAACACTTGGATTGCTTCCAAATGATACTACAATCAATGTATTGTGAATGTTTCACTTGTTCACAAATCTTTTCCTCCATATCTAATTGCTCTTTTAAACTACTAAATTAAAAGATAAAAAAATTTAAGTTTATTAAAGCATATTGCCAAGTTGTTTTCAGAAAGGTTTTACTAATTCACACTCTCACTAACACTTGCATAAGAGAACAAATCTTACAAGTGTAGTTTTGAAACATCTTTGCTGATTTGAAAATTATTATTTCAGTGTTGTTTTATGAAACTTTAAGTTGTAAATTCTGCTCCTGCTTTGATAATCAGAGCTGTCACTTATCTGTTATTTCATATTTCCAAATGCACAGCGTGGTAGGGAAGAGGTACAGAGATTTTAACATATTTTCATTTTTAAAAAATCTATTATATTACTTATTCTAGGAAAAGAGAAGGATTATGTTGCCTGTAATTTCTTAATATGAATTAATAAGCCCAATAATGTATAATAACTCAATAATGTGCAAGTTGTCCATTTAATGTACATGCAAATTATCAGCATATGTTTTCTATCAGGTTGTAAATCTCCTATTGCAAGCTTTTCTTTCAAAGTTAGGTAGTTTAATCTGAGACTAAAGGTAACAGGCCAGGCGCAGTGGCTCATGTCTATAATCCCAGCACTTTGGGAGGCCGAGGCGGGTTGATCACTTGAGGTCAGGAGTTTGAGGCTGGCCTGACCAATATAGTGAAACCCCATCTCTACTAAAAATACAAAAATTAGCCAGGCATGGTGGCAGCCACCTGTAATCCCAGCTTGGGAGGCTGAGGCAGGAGAATCTCATGAACCCGGGAGGCAGAGGTTGCAATGAGCCAAGATCGCGCCCCTGCACTGCAGCATGGGCGACAGAGTGAGACTCCATCTCAAAAAATAAATAAATAAATAGATAAAATTTTTCCTTTAGACCCAATCAATTGTTACCTGTAGAAGAGTGACTGTCAGAGTTCCCTAATGTATACTTATATACACACTCATCTACGTGCACACGTGTACCCACACCATGTCTCCCTCTCCTTTAGTACATCACCACTCTACGTGGTGATTGGATCTAAGCAATATTTATCCTCAAATCTACATTAAATAAGGATTTATGAGGGCTCTGCGCACATAAAAATATTATTTGATAAAGTATAAAATGGAAGACTGTGCTGAAAGATAACCAATAGTCACATGTTTTCATGGTAATTAATACAAAGTTTAACTGAACAGAATAATTGAGTCTTTAAAAAAAAAAGCAGCAGAGAAGATACCAAAGAGATTATAAATCAGCATTATCGAGAAGGAAAGTTGGCATTGTGTATCAAAAGCCATAAAAATATTCATCCCCCTTGGCCCAGCAATTCCACTGCCAGGAATGTATCCTAAGAAAATAATCACAGTTTTGCAAAGAGATTTATGGGGAAAATGTTCAGTGCATCAATGTTTATAAAAGAAAATTTGGAAGTAACCTAAAAATCTAGTAACAGGAAAATATCAGGTTGAAACACTGAAATCGGTGATACTCAACTACTTTAAACTAGAAAAATAGCTATTAAAAGTAGTTCAACCTAAATATATACACTAAATATGTTAAATTTAATTTAGGGGCCAGATACATCAATAAAGTGACATGATGTTTGGTATGTGGTATTGATAGAAGAATATTTAATGATATGAAAAAATCAAAATACAGTAATTAGATTTTTTTTTTTTAAGACAGAGTCTTGCTCTCTCACCCAGGCTGGAGTGCAGTGACACAATCTCGGCTCACTGCAAGCTCCGCCTCCCAGGTTCACGCCATTCTCCTGCCTCAGTCTCCCAAGTAGCTGGGACTACAGGCGCCAGCCACCACGCCTGGCTAATTTTTTGTATTTTTAGTAAAGACGGGGTTTCACCCTGTTAGCCAGGATGGTCTCGATCTCTTGACCTCATAATCTGCCCGCCTTGGCCTCCCAAAGTGCTGGGATTACAGGCTTGAGCCATCGCGCCCAGCCAGTAATTAGATTTTTTAAAAATCATATAACAAAACAGTGAATAGAACATGTCCTTTTAATGACTTGGTGGATACGAGTTAATATCTACATATTGACATGATTAACATGCATTATCTCTGGCTGTGGGACTGTAGATTACTTTATATTCATCTTCGTGCCTTTCTTTGTTTTCCGAATAGAGATGGCAATTCTGTATTATTTTTGCAATCATAAAAATAAACTAAATACTACATACACACACCTCAGTAAGGAGAATTGGGCCGGGTGTGGTGGCTTACGCCTGTAATCCCAGCACTTTGGAAGTCCGAGATGGGCGGATCACCTGAGCCCAGGAGTTCGAGAGCAGCCTGACCAATATGATGAAGCTCCGTCTCTACTAAAAATACACAAATTAGCTGAGTGTGGTGGCATGCACCTGTAATCCCAGCTACTCGGGAGGTTGAGACAGGAGAATCGCTTGAACCCAGAAGGCAGAGGTTGCACTGAGCCGAGATCGCGTCATTGCACTCCAGCCTGGGCAACAAGAGTGAAACTCCTTCTCAAAAAAAAAAAAAGAGAGAGAGAGAGAATTGGCAGAGTATTCCTGCACCATTATAGCTCTGGAGAAAAAAAAGACTTTGCTTCCTCTCACGACCTTCTACAACTCTTGTCATGGGTCCATTTTCATTTGCAATTGGGCAGATAATCAGGGACATAAAGCAATTTATTGTCCACCCTTAAATAAAGTTTAAACAGTTGACTGGGAGGTATGCCTTTAGCAAAGAGCATTCCTTGTGTTTCCCAGATGGCTGAAATGCCTTTCACAGAGGAAACATTTAAAAAGGACAGGCATTTTCCCTGAGAGGTAAAATCCTCATTAGGGTTAGGGGAAGGGCAAGGAGAAAGCATGCAAAGGCTGAGTGGTCAAGGCCAGCTTGGGAGCTGCACTTGGGGCAGGCAGTGATGGCTGAAGAAGGAAGAGGTTGGTCCCAATACAGACCTACTCAAGTTCACAGCTGAGAAATAGGAAACCAGAAAATAACAAGAACAAAGCAGTAGCTTTCTAACACCTTTTCATGTTGGACATGAGTGGTGAATTAGAGAAAGTTCTTGATATTCCCCTGAGCATCTATGTTCAGAACCAACTGTTGAGAAATCTATTTGAACTGGATTTCATAACCTACTAGAGAGACCAAAAACATGTTGAAACATGAGAGAAAATGATTAAAGATATAAATAAATCCAGACTTGTTTCAATACATGTGGCATCTCAAAGTACAAATTTTGTTACTTCATACTTTGGCTAGTTATTTTTTTTGTTTTTTTTAACAAAATAGTCCTTTGCCAGATACCTCCAGATAAATGGCTGGGTGTACACAGGATTCCAGAATTCCTATTCAATGATAATGGAAGGATGCCTCCCTAGGGTTTTATAAAACAAAGGGTCGGGAAAAGAACACATGACATTATTAGTAAAATATACAGATTTTCTAGCTAGTTCATGTGCACAGGCATTGTAAAATACGTGGGTGTCGTTTTGATGATTGATTTCTCCACTCAGTAACTAGTCATAGCACAAACTCCAGAGCCAGGCTCTGGGCTTGTCTCCCAGCACTGTCACTTATTGTCTATGTGGCCTCAATCAAGTTACCTAACCGCTCTGTGCCTCAGTTTCTCTATCTAGAAAATGGGGTTAGTAACACTAACCCCCTTGCAGGATTATTGTGAAGACTAAATGAGTTAAATACGTAAAGCACTACAGCACCTGGCCATGGTAAATAATAGGAAGGTGTTGGCTCCCCGTCTCTCAGTATTCCTTTGTCTTCCACATCAGCAGTTATCAATCTTTCCCCCAGTTCATCACATTGAGAAATATAATATGTTTTCTTCAGTAACAGGAGCTTACTATGGCAGTGATTTTTAAGAGGAAGGTATGGAAACTTCCCTGGATGGGGTGAGGGTTGGAGGGTGGGGAATTAGACTCTTGTGGATGCCTTCACCTTGTAAATGCTCCCCAGATGACTTTGACATCCACTTCTTTTTTTTTTTTTTTTTTTTGAAATGGAGTCCCTTTCTGTCACCTAGGCTGGAGTGAAGTGGCACGATCTCGGCTCACTGCAACCTCCGCCTCCCGGGTTCAAGCAATTCTCCTGCCTCAGCCTCCCAAGTACTGGGACTACAGGCACACGCCACCACATCCAGCTAATTTTTTGTATTTTTAGTAGAGATGAGGTTTCACTATGTTGACCAGGCTAGTATCGAACTCCTGACCTTGGATGATCCATCTGCCTCAGCCTCCCAAAGTGCTGAGATTACAGGCATGGGCCACCACGCCCCGCCATCCACCCCATTTTCATGAGAGTCATGAGGTAGAATAGTCCATCCAGAGATAATGTTAGCATCAATTATTCTAATCTGTGCTAACTTAACAATTTCTTTGATGACCGGTTGGTCCCTGACAGAACGATCCTCAGATCCTGCCCACCCCTTTCTACCCACTGTGTCAAATTATCATCATTATAGGTTTGCTTCTCTTTTTACAGTAAGAGAATATGCACACGCCATGCATCACCCAAACTACTCCAACTCCTCAGAGAATCATGCCATCTCCCTGAGCTGGAAGCAGCTGTCCACAATGGGGACACAAGTTATGCAACTATCCTGTGATTTGAAGTGAGGACCAATTTATGAGGGTGTTTTTCATGAAGTGTTTTGTTTTGCTGTGGGGAAACCCAAAGAGGCCATCTCTCTGCAGAGTTCTCTCTTCTAAATATTGCAGTCAGACTTTGAAAACTGCCAGCATGTGGGACGCAAACTAAAAAACTGCCTTTCCTTGGGGCCACAGCCAGGGCTCTACTCTGACTTTCATGGGCCTGACACCTTTGCTTTGCAGGCCCCTTCCTCTATTAAAAAAAAAAATTAGGTAATATTTTATGACTATGTTGGCATAAAAATGAATGTTTATATATTAAAACATTTTATTTAACTTAAGAGGTTAGGAGTTTTTATTTTAAAATAAAGTAAACCCCCCAGCATTTTGGGAGGCTGAGGCGAGTGGATCACGAGGTCAAGAGATCGAGACCATCCTGGCCAACAATGGTGAAATCCTGTCTCTACGAAAAATACAAAACTTAGCCGGGCATGGTGGCACACGCCTGTAGTCCCAGCTACTTGGGAGGCTGAGGCAGGAGAACTGCTTGAACCTGGGAGGCGGAGGTTGCAGTGAGCCGAGATCTCGCCTGGGCAACAAGAGCAAAACTCAGTCTCAAAAAAAAAATTATTATTTTCATTTTGCTTTTGTTTGTTTGTTTTTGAGACGGAGTCTCATTCTGTCACCCAGGCTGGAGTGCAGTGGTGTGATCTCGGCTCACTGCAACTTCCACCTCCTGGGTTGCAGTGATACTCCTGCTTCAGCCTCCTGAGTAGCTGGGATTATAGGTGTGCACCACCACGCCCAACTACTTTTTGTATTTTTAGTAGAGATGAGGGTTTCACCATGTTGGCCAGCTGCTCTTGAACTCCTGACCTCAGGTGATCCACCCACCTCGGCCTCCCAAAGTGCTGGGATTATAGGTGTGAGCCACCACGCCCAGCAACAATTATTATTTTCATGCGATAGCATCTATTGGCCTCCTCCTATAGCGACCAATGCAAAGAAGAGCAAATAAATCACTGCTTTGTTCACCTGTTAGCCTCAGAGCATAGCCAAATTCCTAGCACATATTAGGCAATCAAAAATATTTCTTGAATGAATAATCAAACAAATGAATAAATAGTTCCTAACATGTTTTAAAATAAGTTATTAACCTTGTGGCTAGCTGCAACATTTCCCTCTTTCCTGTATCTTGTTTTTAATTAATAGGTTATTTTTCCTAACAGTAAATGTATTATGTTGTTGAAATTTTGGATACGACACAGAAAAGTGCAAAGGAGAAAATATAAAACCACACATACCCTAAGGCCCAGAAGCAACCTCTGGTAATGTATTGGTATCCTTCCAGAGCTCTTTTCAATGCATATATAGTACATCCTCCCATATTATAAATCTATGGCTATTAGTCTATAGTCATGTGCTGTGTAACAACGTTTCCATCAATGACAGACTGCATCTAGGAAGGTGGTCCCATAAGATTATAATGGAGCTGAACATTTTCTGTTACCTAGTGGCATCATAGTTGTAGTATGTTGTAGCACAACACATTACTTGCATGCCCTTAGTGATGGTGGTGTAAACAAATCTATTGCACTGTTAGTCATATAAAAGCATAGCACATACAATTATGTACAGCATACAATGCTTGATAGTAATAAGTGACTTTGTTATTGTGTTTATTATACTATACCTTTTATTTTTATTTTAGAGTGTTCTCTTTCTACTTATGTATTTTTTAAAAAGTTAACTGTAAAACATCCTCAGGCGTGTCCTTCAGGAGGTATTCCAGAAGGTGTTGTTGTCATAGGAGGTGACAGCTCCATGCACGTTACTGCCCGCCTCTCCCTGCGAGGTAAGACATAGAGATGGAAGACAGTGATACTGGTGATCATGCATGTTACTGCCCCCGTCTCCCTGCGAGGTAAGACATAGAGATGGAAGACAGTGATATTGATGATCCTGACCCTGTGTAGACCTGGGCTAGTATGTGTGTTTGTGTCTTTGTTTTTAATGAAAAGTTTAAAAACTAAAAATAAAAATTGTTAAAAATAGAGAAAAACGTATAGACTAAGAATATAAAGAAAGAAAATATGTTTGTACAGTTAGACAATGTGTTTTAGACTAAGTGTTATTACAAAGGAATCACAAAGTTTAAAAAAAATTAAAATATTTTTAAACTAAAAATGTTACAGGAAGCTAAGTTTAATTTATTATTGAAGAAAGAAAAAATGTGGCCGGGCACAATGGCTCACTTCTGTAATCCCAGAGCTGTGGGAGGCTGAGGCGGGTGGATCACGAGGTCACGAGATCGAGACCAGCCTGGCCGACATGATGAAACCCCCGTCCCTACCAAAAATATAAAAAATTAGCCGGGCGTGGTAGCGCGCACCTGTAATCCCAGCTACTCAGGAGGCTGAGGCAGGAGAATTGCTTGAGCCCAGGAGGTGGAGGTTGCAGTGAGCCGAGATTGTGCCACTGCACTCCAGCCTGGGCAACAAAACAAGACTCTGTCTCAAAAAAAAAAAAGTTTAATAGATTTAGTGTAGCCTAAGTGTACAGTGTTTATAACGTCTACAGTAGTGTAGAGCAATGTCCTAAGGCCTTCACATTCACTCACTCAATCATTGACTCTCCCACAGCAACTTCTAGTTCTGCAAGCTCCATATACAAGCATAGCATTTTTATCTTTTGTATCATATTTTTACTGTAACTTAACATTGTATTACAATAGCCAGCAGTATTTAGTACAGTAACATGCTGTACAGGTTTGTGGCCTAGGAGCAATAAACTATAGCCTGGGTCTGGAAGGCTATAACATCTAGGTTTGTGTAAGCACAATCCGATATTTACACAATGACAACATCACCTAATGACACATTTCTCAGAACACATCCCCATCATTGTTAAGCGGCACATGATTGTATTTTAATATAGTCTCTGAAAGTGGCAGTGCTCTGGGAACACTTATATATAAGGTCGCCAATATCTGGTATGAATGAGTGAGTTTGTCAAAGTGTTTTTACCATTGACTGAAAAGATCTACAGAACCTGAAACTCAAGAGTCATCAGGGGCAAATGGAAAACATTTTTGAGAAGGAGGAAATGAAGCTCAACTTTACCCATTTTAAAATTGAGGCTGGGCGCAGTGGCTCACGCCTGTAATCTCAGCACTTTGGAAGGCCAAGGCTGGTGGATCACCTGAGGTCAGGAGTTCCAGACCAGTCTGGCCAACATGGTGAAATCCCATGTCTATAAAAATACAAAAATTAGCCGGGCGTGGTGGCGAACATCTGTAATCCCAGCTACTTGGAAGGCTGAATCACTTGAACCTGGAAGGCGGAAGTTGCAGTGAGCCGAGATCGCACCACTGCACTACAGCCTGGGCGACAAGAGCAAAACTCTATCTCAAAAAATAATAAAAAATAAAATAAAATAAATGGAGCCACAGCTGGCCTTGATGATGAACATCAAGTCAGTATGGCTTAGTGCAGAATCCTAATAACAATGGTCCTGTCTTGCTAAAGAAGTAAAGCAAGCAAAGACCCCATAATATTACCTGCATTTATATGTAAGAAGAAGGACAAAGAGGTTTTTTTTTTTTCTCAAAAGTTGTTTTAAGATTCATAGGCATCCAGCTTTCACTTTTAAAATTAATGTTAACTTGTTTCCACAAAAAGTGTGAGGAAATGAGTCAGGAAACAGTAAAAGGGCGGAGTGGGAGAGTGGGGGAGAGAGAGAAAAGAGACAGAGAGAGAGAGAGAGAGAGAAACTCATCTGAGGAATAAGGCAGGGTGATTACGTCTGAGTGGTTTTACTATCCTACGCCTGGATTTCCTGAGACGGAAAATTCCAGGAATAGGAGCTGCCTTGAGAGCTTCCTATTGGCATTCTTTCCTATTAATTTGGCTTTTCGCAAGTTATTAGGCAACTTAAGCTGTTTAACTTTAACAATGTTCTGTTTTTCTGTGGTTTCTGGATTATGTAATACCTAACCAAAGAATAAACAACCAAAGAAAATAACTTTTACTTCATACTTTGGCAAGTGTATTCAAAAGGCAAAGATCTAGATCTGAGAAACAGTTTGGTAAAAGTTAAGGTGCAATCAGAAAACTAAGTGTCACAGAAATGAACTTATTGGCCACTCAGGGAGGTTTTCAAGGTGATATATTTTCAGTGAAATGAATCATACATGTTTGTACGGTCACTGGTCAAAGTGAAGGTTACTCGGTAGAAAAGCAATGTTGTTTTGATTGTACTAGTCTGATGGTGAGAATGCCCCTGAATTCAAATTAAAGAAATGTTTATTGCTGGTGCCTACAGCACTGATATATGACTTTGTTTTGCAGTTGAACTCAGGTCACCTTTCTTGCTATTGGGAACTTATTTTTCAACCCAGAAGATAAAAGAACAGATGATTTAACTGATATTAAATAGAGGCTCTTATTACCTTTTGTGTGGTCACATTTTGACCTGAATTGAACCTATGAGAAATGTAAACAAAACTGTATATACGTTTAAATGTGAAGTGAATTCTTCAGGCAGAAAGCACAAGGTTATAGCCATAATGTAGAAGAAAAAACAATAAAAAGGCAACCCCAAAGCAGGTACCACCCTCATAACTGGTTTGATTTATGTGATCTTGGAGATGATTGCCACATATAAAATGCAGATAATAATAAATATTTATCTACCTGCCTCATGGAGACTCACACGAAGTACTGATGGGCGCTACTTTCACAGTAATTTGCCTTCTTTTCACCTTAACCTTGCTAAGCGTTATGCTAAGTGCATTGTATTTTATATCTATTCTTCTCAACTATTCTGCAACCTGAGTGTCCTCTCTCTCCTCTCTCTTTCTCTTTTTTTCCTCTCTTTCTCTCTCTGTCTCTCTCATAGAAGAAGAAATTAAAACTCAGAGACTATAAGTAATTTTTTTCAAGGTGTAAGTGAATGATTGGAGATCACAAGACTGAGAACAATAGACTATTCTTTATGAGGAAATACAGGCTTTGGATTGATTCTCTTTTCATTTGGTTATTTTATCTGACAAAATTCAGATGAAAAAGCAGACAGACTTACTTTTTCACCTTAAATCATTTTTTTTACTAGGAAATGTTAAAAGAAAAATCATTGCTAAAAATAAGAATAATACTTTTTGCATTCATTTAAAGGCTTTTCTAGTTTGTACAATACTTTCTTAAACGTAATCCCTGCTGGAATGCTTTCTAATTTTTTACCTTTAGCTCCTAGCAAATGTGAATTTGTTTTTTGTTGTTGTTGTAAGACCCAACAAAGCAAATTAAAATATTAAGAAGAAATATACAGAAGTGAACCTCTACCACACCACCTTAGACAATTGGCCAAAGTCAGCAACACCAGCAAAGGTACGAATCAACATCATGTGCCTCCTAGCACGCTGCACTGAGCAGAGCACAACACTTGAATGATATTCCTGACAAAGGTTGTATAACCTCAATTTAACGGTCTGACAACCCCAAATTGAGGGACATTCTAGTAAATGAGTCATCTGTACTCTTCAAAAATGTCCATATCATGAAACACGGTAAGACTGAGGAAATGTTTGAGAATAATGGAGACTAAAAGGCCGTGACAGCTGAATGTAGTGCCTGATCCAAGACTTTCATCTGTTATAAAGACCATTATTGGAATAATTGGCTAGATCTGAATAAGGTCTGTATATCAGATAGTAGAATTAGATCAATGTTAATGTCTTGATTTGATTATTGTTGCATGGTTATATTAAAGAATATACTAAAGTATTTAAGTACTAAAGGGTACCATGCCTGCAACTTATTCTCAAAGAATTCAGAAAATGTATTGAGAAAGAAAAAAAAAAGCAAGCAACGCAGTAAAATGTTAATATTTGGGTAATTCCAGATGGAGAGCACTCAGGAATTCTTAGTAATAATCTTGCAACTTCTCTGTAAGACAGAAATTGTGTAAATTTTTCTTTTTTTTTTGAGATGGAGTTTTGCTCTTGTTGCACTGGAGTGCAAGTGCACAATCTCGGCTCACTGCAACCTCCACCTCCCGGGTTCAAGCGATTCTCCTGCCTGAGTAGCTGGGATTACAGGCGTGCACCACCATGCCCAGCTAATGTTTGCATTTTTAGTAGAGACGGGGTTTTCACCATGTTGGCCAGGCTGGTCTCGAACTCCTGACCTCAGGTGATCTACCCACCTCAGCCTCCCAAAGTGCTGAGATTACAAGTTTGAGCCACCGTGCCTGGCCGGGCCTCTTTATAACTATTGTGCTCATGGTAAATATAGAATGTATAAATTAAGGCAAATAAAACATTCATGTTACAGGCATGCGCCTCCATGCCCAGCTAATTTTTATATTTCTAGTAGAGACGGGGTTTCGCCTGTTGGTCAGGCTGGTCTGAACTCCTGACCTCATGATCTGCCCACCTCAGCCTCCCAAAGTGCTGGGATTACAGGCATGAGCCACTGCACCCAGTCTGTGTAAAAATTTTTTAAAAACCTTCTTAAGGTGCCTATATGCAAATTTATCTTTTTATTTTTATTTTATTTTATTTTATTTTTGAGACGGAGTCTCGCTCTGTCACCCAGGCTGGAGTGCAGTGGTGCGGTCTCCGCTCAATGCAAGCTCCACCTCCCGGGTTCATTTCATTCTCCTGCCTCAGCCTCCCGAGTAGCTGGGGCCACAGGCACCCACCACCACGCGCAGCTAATTTTTTGTATTTTTAGTAGAGACGGGGTTTCCCTGTGTTAGCCAGGATGGTCTCGATCTCCTGACCTTGTGATCCACCTGCCTCGGCATCCCAAAGTTCTGGGATTACAGGCTTAAGCCACCGCACCCAGCCTATTTTTAATATTTTTAAATTCTTAATTTTTAAATTTTTGTGGGTACACAGTAGGTGTATATACTTATGGGGTACATGAGATGTTTTGATACAGGTATGCAATGTGTAATAAGCACATCATGGAGAATGGGGTATCCATCCCCTCAAGCATTTATCCTTTGTATTACAATCAACCCAGTTACACTCTTTTCCTTATTTTTAAATGTACAGTTATTATTGACTATAGTGGTCCTGTTGTGCTATCAAATAGTAGATCTTATTCATTGACTCTAACTATGTTTTGGACCCATTAACCATACCCATCTCCCCCACCCCACCCCCAAGTCCCAACTACCCTCTGAGCCTCTGGTAAGCATCCTTCTTCTATGTCTGTGAGTTCAATTGTTTTGATTTTTAGATCCCACAAGTAAGCAAGAACATGAAATGTTTGTCTTTTTGTGCCTGGCTTATTTCACTTAACATAATAATCTCCAGTCCGTTCATGCTGCTGCAAATGACAAGATCTCATTCTTTTTTGTGATGGAACAGTACTCCATTGTGAATATGTACTACATTTTCTTTTAACTTTTAAGTTCAGGGGTATATGTGCAGGATGTGCAGGTTTGTTACATAGGTAAATGTGTGTCATAAGGATTTGTTGTACAGATTATTTCATCACTCTGGAATTAAGTCTAGTATCCATTAGTTATTTTTCCTGATCCTCTCCCTTCTCCCACCCTCCACCCTCTGATAGGCCCCAGTGTGTATTGTTCCCCTCTATGTGGGTCCATGTGTTGTCATCATTTAGTTTCCATTTATAAGTGAGAACATGCAGTATTTGGTTTTCTGTTCCTGTGTTAGTTTGCTAAAGATAATGGCCTCCAGCTCCATCCATGTTCCTGCGAAGAGCATGAGTTCATCCCTTTTTATGGCTGCATAGTATTCCATTGTCTACATGTACCACATTTTCTTTATTTGGTCTATCACTGATGGGCATTTGGGATGATTCTATGTCTTTGCTATTGTGAATGGTGCTGCAATGAACATACACTCATTCGTGTATCTTTATAGTAGAACAATTTATAATTATTTTTTGAGACAGAATCTCACTCTGTTGCCCAGGCTGGAGTGCAATGTTGTGATCTCATCTCACTGCAACCTCCGCCTCCCAGGTTCAAGTGATTCTCCTGCCTCAGTCTCCCAAGTATCTGGGATTACAGGCATGTGCCACCATGCCCGGCTAATTTTGTATTTTTAGTAGAGATGGGGTTTCTCCATGTTGGTCAGGCTGGTCTTGAACTCCCGACCTCAGGTGATACACCTGCCTTGGCCTCCCAAAGTGCTGGGATTACAGGAGTGAGCCACCACTCCCAGCCAACAATTTATATTTCTTTGGGTATATACCCAGTAATGGAATTGCTGGGTCAAATGGTATTTCTAACTTTATGTTTTTGAGGAATCACCACACTGTCTTCCACAATGATTGAACTAATTTATACTCCCACCAACAGAGTATAAGCATTCCTTTTTCTCCACAACCTTGCCAGCATCCATTATTTTTTGACTTTTTAATAATAGCCATTCTGACTGGTGTGTGATGGTATCTCATTATAGTTGTGATTTGCATTTCTCTAATGTTCAGCGATGTTGAATTTTTCTTCATATGCCTTTTTGGCCACATGTATGTCTTCTTTTGAGAAGTGTCTGTTTATGTCCCTTGCCCACTTGTTATTGAGGGTTTTTTTTCTTGTAAATTTAAGTTCCTTATAGATGCTGGATGTTAGACCTTTCTCAGATGCATAGTTTGCAAAAATTTTCTCTCATTCTGTAGGTTGTCTGTTTGCCCTGTTGATAGTTTCTTTTGCTATGCAGAGCTCTTAAGCTTAATTAGATCCCATTTGCCCATTTTTGCTTTTGTTGCAATTGTTTTTGGCATCTTCATCATGAAATCTTTTCCCATGCCTATGTCCTGGATGGTATTGTTTAGGTTATCTTCCAGAGTTTTTACAATTTTGGGTTTTACATTTAAGTCTTCAATCCATCTTGAGTTGATTTTTGTACATAGTGTAAGGAAGGGGCCCAGTTCCAATTTTCTGCATATGGCTATCAAGTTATCCCAGCACCATTTATTGAATAGTGTGTCCTTTCCCCATTGCTTGTTTTGTCAGCTTTGTCGGAGATCTGATGGTTGTAGGTGTGCAGCCTTATTTCTTTGTTATCTATTCTATTCCCTTGGTCTATGTGTCTGTTCTTGTACTAGTACCATGCTGCCATGCTGTTTTGGTTACTGTAGCCCTGTAGTATAGTTTGAAGTCAGGTAGCATGATGTGTCCAGCTTTGTTCTTTTTGCTTAGTATTGCCTTGGCTAATCAGGCCATTTTTTGTTTTATATGAATTTTAAAATAGATTTTCTAGTTCTGTGAAGAATGTCAATGGTCGTTTAATGGGAATAGCATTGAATCTATAAATTGCTTTGGGCAGTATGGCCATCTTAACAATATTGCTTCTTCCTATTCTTCCTTTTCCATCTGTCAGTTTTACCTCTAATTTCTTTGAGCAGTGGTTTGTAGTTCTCCCTGTATAGATCTTTCACTTCCTTTTACATTTTCTTTACCCATTCATCTGTTGATAGACTCTTAGGCTGCTTCCAAATCTTAATTATTGTGAACTGTGCTGCAACAAACATGGGAGTGCAGAGATCTCTTCAACATACTGATTTCCTTTCTTTTGAGTATATACCTAGCAATGGGATTGCTCTATTGTTGTTATTGCTATGTTATGATAGCTCTATTTAGTTTTTTGAGGAACCTCCAAACTGTTCTCCATAGTGGTTGTACTAATTTACATTCCCACCAACATTGCATGAGGGTTCCCTTTTCTCCACATCCTCACTAGCGTTTGTTACTGCGTGTCTTTTGGCTACAAGCCATTTTAACTTACAGTGAGATGATATCTCACTGTAGTTTTGATTTGAATTTCTCTGGTGATCAATAATGCTGAGCACCTTTTCATATTCCTGTTTGCCATTCATGAGTCTTCTAAGTAATGTCTATTCAAATCTTTTGCCCATTTTTTGATTGGATTATTGGATTTTTTTCCTATAGAGTTGTTTGAGTTCCTTATGTATTCTGGTTATTAATCCTTTGTCAGAGTGGTAGTTTGCAAATATTCTCTCCCATTCTGTAGGTTGTCTGTTTACTTTGTTCATTGTTTCCTTTGCTGTGCAGAAGCTTTTTAACTTGGTGTGATCTCACTTGTTCATTTTTGCTTTGATTGCATGTGCTTGTGGAGTATTGCTCAATAAATCTTTGCCCAGACCAATGTCATGGAGATTTCCCCCAGTGTTTTCTTGTAGTAGCTTCATAGTTTGAGGTCTTAGATTTAAGTCTTTAATCCATTTTGAATTGATTTTTGTATGTGGCGAGAGATAGGGGTCTAGTTTCACTCTTCTGCATATGGTTATCCAGTTTTCCAAGCACCATTCATTGAAGAAACAGTCTTTTCCCCAGTGTACGTTCTTGGCACCTTTGTTAAAAATGAGTTCACAGTAGCTGTGTGGATTTGCTTCTAGGTTATTGATTCTGTTTCATTGATCTATGTGTCTGTTTTTATGCCAATACCATGCTTGTTTTGGTTACTGTAGCTCTGTAGTATAATTTCAAGTAAAGTATGGTGATTTCTTCAGTTTTGTTATTTTTGCTTGGGATAGTGATATGGTTTGAATCTGTATCTGCACCCAGGTCTCAGGTTGAACTGTGATCCCAGTGTTGGAGGTGAAGTATAGCAAGAGGTGAGTGGGTCATGGGGGCAGATTTCCCCCTTGCTGTTCTCATGATAGTGAATGAGTTCTCTCGAAATACGGTTGTTTAAAAGTGTGTAGCACCTCCCTCACTTTTTCCTGCTTCAGCCATATAAGACATGTTTGATTCCTCTTCACCTTCCACCATGACTGAAACTTTCCTGAGCTCTCCCAAGAAGCCTCTATGCTTCCTGTATAGCCTGCAGAACCATGAGCCAATTTAACTTATTTACTTTATAAATTACCAAGTCTCAGGTCTTTCTTTACAGCAGTGCAAGAATGAACTAATACAGATAGCTTTGGTTATTCTGGGTCTCTTATGGTTTTGTACAAATTTTAGAATAGTTTTTTCTATTTCTATGAAGAATGCCATTGGTATTTTGATAGGGATTGCATTAAATCTGTACATTGCTCTGGACAGTATGGACATTTTAACAATGTTGATTCTTCCAATCCATGAACATGGAACATTTTTTCATTTTTTGGTAATTTCTTCAATTTCCACATTAGTATTTTACAGTTTTCATCATAGAGACCTTCCACTTCTTTGGCTAAGCAAATTTCTAGGTATTTAATTTTAATTTTATTTGTGAGTATTGTCAATGAGATTACTTTTTAAATTTCTTTTCCAAATTGTTCACTGTTGGCATATATAAATGCTACTGATTTTCATAAGTTGCTTTTGTATCCTGCAAATTTACTGAATTTGTTTATCGGTTCTAATACTTTTTTTTTTTTTCAGACGGAGTCTCGCTCTGTCGCCCAAGCTGGAGTGCAGTGGCGCCATCTCGGCTCACTGCAAGCTCCGCCTCCCGGGTTCACGCCATTCTCCTAGCTCAGCCTCGCGAGTAGCTGGGACCACAGGTGCCCACCACCATGCCCGGCTAATTTTTTTGTATTTTTTAGTAGAGACGGGGTTTCACGGTGTTAGTCAGGATGGTCTCAATCTCCTGACCTTATGATCTGCCCCCCTCGGCCTCCCAAAGTGCTGGATTACAGGCATGAGCCTCCACCGCACCTGGCCTTTTTGTGTTATCTTTAGGCTTTTCAAAATATAAGATCATATCATCTGCAAACAGAATAATTTGACTTCTTCCTTTCCAATTTGGATGCCCTTTATTTCTTTCTCCTGTCTGATTGCTCTAACTAGGACTTCCAGTACTGTGTTGAATAACAGTGGAGAAAGCGAGCATCCTTATCGTGTTCCAGATCTTAGAGGAAAGGCTTTCAGCTTTTCCCTCTTCAGAATGATACTAGCTGAGGGTCTATCATATATGGCTTTTATTATGTTGAGGGATGTTCCTTCTATACACAATTTTTTGAGGGTTTTTATAATGAAGGGATGTTGAATTTCATCAAATGTTTCTTCAGCATCAGTTGAAATGATCATATGGCTTTTATCCTTCATTCTGTTGATATGATGTATTACATTGATTGATTTGTGTATATTGAACCATCCTTGCATCCCTGGGATGAGCTGCACTTGGTGATGATGAATAATCTTTCTAATGTATTGTTGAATTTGATTTGCTATTATTTTGTTGAGGATTTTTGCATCAATGTTCATCAGAGATATTGGCTTGTAATTTCCTTTTCTTGATGTGTTTTTTTTTCTGGTTTTGGTACGAAGGTAATACTGGTCTCACAGAATGGGTTTAGAAGTGTTCCTTCCTCTTCTATTTTTTCAGAATAGCTTGAGTAGGATTGGTATTAGGTCTTCTTAAAATGTTTGGTAGAATTCAGCAGTGGAACCATCAGGTCCTGGGCTTTTCTTTCCTGGGAGACTTTTTATTATGGCTTCTGCAAAGTTATCTTTGAAAGCTTACCTGTCTTATGTGTCTTGAACTGTCCTAGACCCAGAAATGGAATTGGCTATTTTTCCAAGAAGCTCTGGTTTGTTTTTGTGGAATGATAACATTATAAACGTTATTATGAGTAAAAAGCATACACAGTGTGTCCCATCTGCAATTCTATCATTAGTAAACTATTTAGTAGATAGTTCTAGAATATATATTTTTTCTCTTAAAGTCGTGAGTTTATATAAATATTTCTAATTCAGTTATGTTATTGTGTTCTTCCTTGTTTTCTATGATTGTACTTCCATTTCTCTTATACTGAAAATCTTGATTTTTAACAAAAGAAACATTATGCTTATTTGTTTTACATAACAATAAAAATAAAATAGTTCTGAAAAAATAAAACAATTAGTACAAACAATGAGATGATAGGATGAAGTCCAAGGTTTTCTATTTTTTTTTTCCTTTCTGTCCTTAGAATGCAGGCTACTATAGATATATGGTCAACTTATTTTGGTCTAAAGTCACTTACTAGTCTTCATTTCTGTGTTCTATAGAAATGAGTATCTAATATATGATTGTTTCTATTTCTTTTTAATTTGAGGTTGGTAATATTCTTACAAATGACTGTTCTCAGGTTTTAGAAGCTTCTAGTCTTTCTTCAGAGGAGGGCTAAAGTCCCATAGAAGATAGGAGGGAAAAAAAGTCAGCTACTGAATCTCCACAATTCTTTGTGTTTCATTTAAGCACCAATTGATCCCTCATCAGTAACTAAATGAATGGCATATGTAAGATTTACATGCATGAGCTAGGCAAGCAAATTATACCTTCTACTATTCAATAATCTTAAAATATATCAATATTAATATTTAAGCTTCTGTGAAAAATATTTTTAAATCTATAAAACAAAGATTACCTCACATATAAAGACAAAGCCTGTTACCAGTTATACTTATTTAAATTTCAGTGTCAGTGTTTCCTGCTAGGTTCAGATGCTTTCATTCAAATATAAGCAATCGGCCAGTATGGTGGCTCATGCCTATAATCCTAACACTTTAGGAGGCTGAGGCAGGAAGGAGGATCTCTTGAGCCCAGGAATTCCAGGCTGCAGTGAGTTATAATCAGGCCACTGCACTCCAGCTTTGGTGACACAGCAAGACTCTGTCTCTTAAAAACAATAATAAAATAAATAAATAAATAAATAAATATATACAAGCAATTACTTTATCCTCTGCCTTTTGCAATCTAGCCTTACTCTGAGGACACAGCTACTTCATGTTGACCTATTTCCAATTTCCAGCTATGGAGATCAAATGTCCTGGATACTGAGCCCCAGATATTGATATTGAGTGGGCCCCCCTAAGGTTTTTGGGGTGTTAGAGATAGTGCCTTGAGGACTCAATCTTATTATGAGGCAACATGATTGATGGGATCCTGGCATCTTCTGGGATAGTGAATGGGGAGGTTCATGAGGATTCAGCGCAGGGAGTTTTAGGGGATTTCATGGGCAGAAGAGGAGGGAAGCCTAATTGACTAGGGAATTTATGCCCCTGTCAAAGGAGTGTGGTAGGGAGAGACATCAAAGGGTATCTTGAGGTCATTTTCCAGAGAGGTTTTACAGGTAATTAAGGAGGCTTCTTAAGACTTTTTTTCTTAAAGTTCTCAATGAGGTCTTGAGTATTTGGTAGTAAGCCTCATCTCTATCTCTCTCAACTACACACACAGGCAACACACACAGACACACCCACACACACACACACCCATAAATTCATCTAGGCAAGAAGAGCATTTTCCATTATTTTCCTTAGATATTTCAAGGTCAGTGAAAAGAAAACTACAGTTTGAGGTCATCTGTGCCTTTGGTATTCCAAACTCTAAAATAGTTCACAAATTGTTAGCCGCACTGCCTACATTGGCTGCAGGGTGAATCCATTAGCCATGGAGACTGACACACTGCAAGGGGCTGGATTTATGCATTCCCTCTTCTCCTCTTGCTGTAAGTAAACAATGTACCAGTTGAGCTTGATATGCATATTGTCTGTTCTCAGAGACCTCAAGTCATGCACTGGTCCTTCCCTGGACAGCATTTATTTGACTTTTAACCTTGGCCACATTCATGTTATAGTTTACCCTGCACACAGCCTGACCATCCAGTGGAGGGTGAAACATATTTGGTACAGTGAGCAGGGTCTCTGAGAAGACACCTTTTCATGGCATAGTGGAAGTGAGACCCCATCCAGGGTGGTGCTGGCTCCTGGAGATATTGAAGGTGATAAAGCTCTCAATAAGGCCTAGATACATTTTGATCTGCCAACAGAGGTAAATGGGATAGTGAGAATAGCCCTGAGAACCTTGATGAATTAACTAGAGGGATGTGGGCAAAAATTAAGGAGGTGGGAAAGTCCAAAACCAAACAATCTCCTGGTTACTGAGTCGCTGCCTTTGTGCTGCCAGCCTGGGGCCACCTTGGTCTAAACCACCCCCTGACCAGTTACCCCCAGTCTTTACCTAGCAGTACATTAATGACAGCATTGCCAATGTTGCCCAAGTTAAAATAAGAAGTTTCTCTGAGATTGAGCTGGATAAGAAGAAACAGCAATATGACCAAAAGCCCAGCGAATTCATACCTTCCTGGACTCTGCACTTGATTGATGAGGGAGCAACCCAGACTCTCTTCTCCTGTAATGAGTGAAGCCTGGACCAGATGAGAGAGGATGGGATTAATTGTTATAATGGATCTTTGCCCACATTGAATAGGCCAACTCCTCAGGATTGGACAGGTGACAAACCAATCTGGTGACAAACCAATCTGCTTGAAACCTGGTGATCTTCCTAAATTGAAACAATTCTAGAAAGACTTTCAAGCACCCTTTGACTTGGTGAGAGCCCCAGGAGCCTCCTCTATGGCTCTATCAATCCAGAAGGGGATTTAGATGATGTACCACTGCTTGACAGCAAATACACGACTTAATAAAATGGGGGCATCCAACAGGTGGGCTCCATTAACCCTCTTAGTCTCCCTAGGAATGACTACGGGGGACATCGTTGGAAAACTGTACCATAATGTGCCCATGTGGGGCGCTGCCAAAAACACAGCCACAGTGGTGAGTGGTGGCTACTCCCTCATCACATAGCAAATGGAGCTCCAAACCACCATCAGGAGCCCACTAAAAGATAAAAGGAGCCACAGAAAAGGAAGGCCTCAGGCTGCCCTGGACCCAAGGGAAGAGTCGTGTGGCTATGGCTGTTAAGCATGGTGGCTGCTTAAGCATGGTGGCTAAGGAAGAGACAGATGGGATCCCTATTGAACAACTGAGGGATCAGTATGAGCTGAGGGAGGAAACTGAAATCTTTTGTTTTTATTTTAAATTTTTATTTTATTTTTTTCTCTTTTTCTTTGTTTTTTATATTTTTTTATTTTAATTGTTGTGGGTACATAGTAGGCGTACATATTTATGGGGTATGTGGGATGTTTTGATATAGGCATGCAATGCATAATAATCTCATCATGAAAGATGTGGTACCCATCCCCTCAAGCATTTATGGATCTTGAGACTTTTTTGAAGGTTATCACGTTCCTCTTTTTTTCTTCTTCAACTTTTATTTTAAGTTCAGGGGTACATGTGCAGGATGTGCAGGTTTGTCACATAGGTAAACGTGTGCCATGGTGGTTTGCCGCACAGATCGACCCATTATCTAGGTATTAAGCCCAGCATCCATTAGCTATTCTCCCTGATGCCCTCCCTTCCCTACCCCGACAGGCCCCATTGTGTGTTGTTCCCTGCCATGTGTCCATGTATTCACATTGTTCAGCTCCTACTTATAAGTGAGTACAGGTGGTGTTTGGCTTTCTGTTCCTGCATTAGTTTGCTGAGAATAACGGTTTCCAGCTCCATTCATGTCCCTGCAAAGGACATGATCCTATTCCTTTTTATGGCTGCATAGTATTCCATGATGTATATGCACCATAGTTTCTTTAACTAGTCTATCATTGATGGGCATTTGTGTTGAATCTATGTCTTTGCTATTGTGAATAGTGTTGCAATAAACATACATGTGCATATATCTTTATAATATTAATAGAATTATTTATATTCCTTTGGGTATATACCCAATAATGGGATTGCTGGGTCAAATGGTATTTTTGCCTCTAGATCTTTGAAGAATCACCACATTTTTCAAAATGGTTGAACGAATTTACACTCCTACCAACAGTGTAAAAGCATTCCTTTTTCTCTGCAACCTTGCCAAATCTGTTGTTTCTTGATTTTTTAATAATCGCCATTCTGACTGGCATGAGATGGTATTTCATTGTCATTTTGCTTTGCATTTCTGTAATGAATCCTGAGATTTTTTTTTTTTTGAGACGGAGTCTCGCTCTGTCACCCAGGCTGGAGTGCAGTGGCACAATCTTGGCTCACTGCAAGCTCTGCCTCCTGGGTTCATGCCATTCTCCTGCCTCAGCCTCCTGAGTTGCTAGGGCTACAGATGCCTGCCACCACGCCTGGCTAATTTTTTGTATTTTTATTAAAGACAGGGTTTCACCGTGTTAGCCAGGATGGTCTCGATCTCCTGACCTCGTGATCCGCCCGCCTCGGC
Source organism: Homo sapiens (assembly GCF_000001405.40). Taxonomy (NCBI): domain Eukaryota; kingdom Metazoa; phylum Chordata; class Mammalia; order Primates; family Hominidae; genus Homo; species Homo sapiens. The sequence continues at coordinate 172,576,245 of NC_000003.12, forward strand.
CTGAAGTGGGAGCTGAACAATGCGAACACATGGACACATGGCAGGGAACAACACACACTGGGGCCTGTCAGGGGATGGGGAAGGGAGGGCATCAGGGAGAATAGCTAATGGATGCTGGGCTTAATACCTAGGTGATGGGTTGATCTGTGCAGCAGATCCCAAAGTTCTGGGATTACAGGCATGAGCCACTAGCGCCCAGCCCAAATCCTGAGATCTTAATGTTAAACGATTGGTTCAAGCAATTGAACCGCAAGAGGAATGCTTGTTAGACTGAGTTGATTTTGCTGACTGGTTCTCTGCCCTGAGTGTTCCCACCAACACTTGAAGGGTTCAAAACAGCAGAGGCATTGGTGGGTGCCAGAGAGAAACTACTTGAAAAGGAACCACTTCCACCATTATATCCTGAGCTAACATCTTTGGAGAAGACAGACTAAAGATGGGGCCAAGATTTGGGGCCACCAGTGGGAACTGAACGCCTGTGCCCTAGTTTGAGAGGCAGGGGAAAAGGGTACTACACAAACTATTATGAGTCTCTTGAACACTGGGGACACTGGGGTCACTGTCATTTCCAGTTGTGGGCAAGAATGACAGGTGACACTGCGAGATTCAAAACTAACACTGTCACATGGAAAGTTGCCATGCACTTAATTGTGGATTCCTCTAGCACCTTTACCATGGCCAGGGATTGTAGTTCCCACTGCTAAATGTACAATACTTATATAAAGTTTGGCCTCCTGTACACAAGGCACCCATCGTGATTCTGGGGTTGCACCCCACCAAATGGTTTCATTTGGATGAGCGTCATGGGATACGTCCTGTTCATGTGTTGTTTTCCTGACCTTCTCTACATCTTCCTCTAGTTCTCTGAGCATCTTTAAGACCGTTGTTTTTATGTCTGGTAGATTCACCAGCCATCAGGTCTTTTCAAGGAAGTTTCTGTTGATTTCTTTTTTTCCTTTGAATGGTCCATGCTTTACTGCTTCTTTGTATACTGATACAGTTTGGCTCTGTGTCTCCACCCAAATCTCATCTTGTAGCTCCCATAATTCCCATGTGTTATGAGAGGGACCCGATGGGAGATGACTGAATCAACAGGGGTGGGTCTTTCCTGTGCTGTTCTTTTGACAGTGAATGGGACTCACAAGATCTCATGGTTTTAAAAACGGGAGTTTCCCTGCACAAGTTATTTTTTTGCCTGCTGCCTTCCACGTAAGATGTGACTTGCTCCACCTTGCCTTCCGCCATGATCGTAAGGCCTCCCCAGCCATTTGGAACTGTAAGTCTAAGAAGCCTCTTTCTTTCGTAAATTGCTGAATCTCAGGTATGTCTTTATCAACAGCATGAAAATGGACCAATACATATACCTTGTGATTTTTTTGTTCAAAACTGAACATTTGGGTCTAGTAATGTGATAACTTTAAAAATCAGATTCTCTCCCTTCCCAGGACTTGCCGAGTTTTGTTTTGGGGTTGGTTTTTGTGGGGTGGTTGTAGGCTATCTGTGTGCTGAGCATTAGCCTGAGGTGCAAACGTAAGGTCTTCTCAAGTGTTTTCTGAGTCTGTACCCCTTTCCCCGGGTTTATGTGGTGACTTAATTTCAAATGTCCTAGTCCTTAATGTCTGACCCTCCAGAAAAGAAAGGAGAAAAATGAAAGTGGGGAAAAAGCACTTGCCTTTCAAATTTCCTGGAAGTCACTAGAGGGTGGGGGAAGTGGGGTCGGTGGGGGAGGGGGGCAACAATAAGAGAACATGCAACAGTGGTTTCCTTTTTCTGTACTTCTATGTTTAGAAGCAACAATTTAGAGCACAGATCCCCAATAATTAGAGTACAGCATTCCTTTGTCCACACTGGGCAAAGCTATGTGTAAGCTACTCCAGGATCATCTGCACAGCTGCCTGCCAAGCCGCTGAGGGTAAGGGATGGCTACAGCTGACAATGACTGAAACTAACTGCAATTTACAACCTGATATTGTTTGGCTCTGTGTCCCCAGACAAATCGAATCTTGAATTATAATCCCTATTTGTGTTGAGGGAGGAACATGTAATTCCCACATGTCAAGGGAGGGAGGTGAATGGATCATGGGGGTGGTTTCCCCCATGCTGTTCTCATGATAATGAGTGAGTTCTTATGACATCTGCTGGTTTTAAAAGTGGCAGTTTTTTCCTGTGTGCTCTCTCTCCTGCTTCCTTGTGAAGAAGGTGGCTGTTTCCCCTTCTGCCATAATTGTAAGCTTCCTGAGGCCTCCCCAGCCATGTGGAACAGTGATTCAATTAAACCCCTTTCCTTTATACATTACCCAGTCTCAGGTACTTCTTTATAGCAGTGTGAAAACAGACTAATACAGTTAATTGGTACCAAGGTAGTGGGGTACTGCTACAAAAATACAAAAAAATGTGGAAGCAACTTTGGAACTGGGTAATGGTTAGAGATTGGAACAATTTGGAGGGCTCAGAAGAAGACAGGAAGATGTGGGAAAGTTTGGAACTTCCTAGAGACTTGTTGAATGGTTTTGACCAAAATGCTGATAATGATATGGATGGACAATGAAGTCCAGGCTGAGGTGGTCTCAGATGGAGATTAATAACTTATTGAGAAATGGAGAAAAGTCACTCTTGCTATGCTTTAGCAAAGAGACTGGTGACATTTTGCCCCTGCCCTAGATTTCTGTGGAACTTTGAACTTGAGAGAGATGACCTGAAATTGGAACTTACGTTTAAAAGGGAAGCAGAGCATAAAAGTTTGGAAAAATTGCAGCCTGACCATGCAGTAGAAAAGAAAAACCCATTTTCTGGGGAGAAATTCAAACTGGCTGCAAAAATTAGCATAAGTAATGAGGATCCCAATGTTAATCACAAAGACAATGGGGAAAATATCTCCAGAGCCTGTCAGAGATCTTGGCGGCAGCTCCTCCCATCACAGGCCTGGAGGCCTAGGAGGTTAAAAATGATTTATTGGGCCAGGCCCAGGCCCCCACTGCTGTGTGCAGCTTTGGGACTTGGTATGATGCATCCCAGCCACTTTAGCTCCAGCCATAGCTAAAAGGAGCCAATGTACAGCTCAGGCTGTGGCTTCAGAGGGTACAAGCCCCAGACCTTGGCAGCTTCCCTGTAGTGTTAGGCCTGTGGGTACATGGTAGTCAAGAATTGAGGTTTGGGAATGTCTGCCTAGATTTCAAAGGAGGTATAAAAATGCCTGGATGGCCAGGCAGAGGTCTGCTACAGGGGCAGAGCCCTCATGGAAAACCTCTGCTAGGGCAGTGTGGAAGGGAAATATGGGGTAGGAGCCCCCACACAGAGTCCCCACTGGGGCACTGCCTAGGGGAGCTGTGAGAAGAGGGTCACTGTTCTCCAGACCCAAGAATGGTAGATTCACCTCCTTCTTGCACCGTGCACCTAAAAAAGCCATAGGCACTCAATGCCAGCCTGTGAAGAAGCTACTCAAGGCCATGGGAGCCCACTCTTTGCATCAGTGTGTCCTGGGTGTGAGACATGGAGTCAAAAAAGATCATTTTGGAGCTTTAAGATTTAAGGACTGCCTTGCTGGATTTCAGACTTGCATGGGGCCTGTCGCCCCTTTGTTTTGGTTAATTTCTCCCATTTGGAATGGGAGCATTTACCCAAGGCCTGTCCTCCCATTGTATTTAGGAAGTAACTAACTTGCTTTCAATTTTACAGGCTTATAGGTGGAAGAGACTTGCCTTGTCTCAGATGAGACTTTGGACTGTGGACTTTTGAGTTAATGCTGAAATGAGTTAAGACTTTGAGGGACTGTTGGGAAGGCATGATCGGTTTTGAAATGTGAAAAGACATGAGATTTGGGAGGGGCCAGAGGTGGAATGATATGGTTTGGCTCTGTGTCCCCACCAAATCTCATCTCAAACTGTAATCCCCACACCTCGAGGGAAGCACCTGTAATCATCACATGTCAAGGGAGGGAGGTGATTGGATCATGGGGGCAGTTTCTCCCATGCTGTTCTCATGATAGTGAGTTCTCGCAAGATCTGATGGTTTTATAAGTGTTTGGAAGTTTTTCCTTCACTCTTCTCTCTCTTGCCACCATGTGAAGAAGGTCCTCGCTTCCCCTTTGTCTTCTACCATGATTATAAGTTTCCTGAGGCCTCCCCACCCATGTGGAATTGTGTGTCAATTAAACCTCTTTCCTTCATAAATCATCCAGTCTCAGGTATTTCTTCATAACAGCGTAAGAACAAACTAATACACAACCTAAGCCTTCCTCTGGAAATTGTGAACCTTAGATTACTCCAGAGTTCCAAGATAGTTAAGTCATATTCTGCCACTGCATTAGTTGGGTAGGTCAGGAGAGAGATTCCTGGTTCTTCCTACTCTGCCATTTTCCCAGAATCTGCTTATTGTCTCTCTTATTCTGTTGGGCCTGCTGTAACAAAATACTATAAACTGTGTAGCTAACAAATAACAGAAATTCACAAATTTGTATTATTGCAAATAAGTGAAAATTACCTTGCAACCACATACCATACTTATCTGAAGAACTTAAAAACTCTCTCAAGTATAGAAATGCAATACATTACAACAATCTTCTTCCACTTTGAGTTACTTCTCATAATGAAACCACAGAGAAACAAAAGTGGCGCCTTAAAAGAAACTGTGAAAAGAAACTTTAAGCTTCTGTTTGTTCCTGGAATAGATTTGAATCAAATTTAGGAAGGAAGCTCTTCCTCTTGAAAATTAACTGCATGAAAACAAATCAGAAGAAACAAAAGTCAGTTATATAATGTTGGCAGACAAGGAATTTAACCATGGAGAGGACAGTCATGTAGTTCATTTTATGTTATACTAAAATGATACTTTTTTCCAAAGTAGGGTAAAGATTTTCAAAGTTACATTCAATTTGTGACATATTGACTTCCTTTCAAAAATTGCCTTATGAATTACCATATGAAATTTTTCCAGAATCTTTGAGGGACTTAACCTAAGATTTTCCCCTCAGTATACAACAGTGACTAGATTTTTTCTGCCTGTACAGCACTTCAACTACATGGAACAGGTTAAGTCTTGTTTGATAATTCGATTCGTAAAGGTACAAAATGATCATGAACATGCCTGATCACCATATCTGAAACTCACCCTAATCCTGTAAAATGAATACTACTTTCCTTCCTATTTCAGCCTCATCCCAAGCAAAAGAAAAAAAATTTTGAGGCACTACTTATTTTTTATTATGCATAAAAATTTACACATAATTATACATGTGACAAATGTAAAACAGCATGCATTCACCAATATAATATCGGAATAATTTCACTTCCCTAAATATCCTCCATGTTCTGCCTATTTATCCGTCCCTCCCCTCTAGCCCCTGGCATGTATTATAATAAATGTTTGCTTACTACCAGATCATCTCAGGGAGCACCAGTGACATGCAAATATAATTTTGGAAACAATGGACTAAAGTTGTTTAAGCCATGCACAAGTGGCTGCAGTTTATCAATCGAGGTAGCAGCTTGAATTTTTCTGAGAAAGAAGATTATTGTTTCTAAGTATAGCTTAAGTGGCAGAATGTGAGTCTAGAGATGCTGATACCCATATGTTACCACATGGAGAGAGGTCTCATAAGAATGAGGTCAACATGGAGGTGGGAGATGGAGTGGAAGACTGAGAGACAGAGAGAGAGAGGAGATTGATTTCTGACTGCATCTTTTAAGTACTTGGATTTAATTATGCCTGAATGCAGCCTTATCTTAGTCCCTAGACTTTTTAGTTACATAAACTGATACATTCTCACATTCAATTGAGCCAGTTTGAGTTAGGTTTCTGAATGACTCAAGAAGTCTTTATTCTAGAAGTTAGTCTATGGAAATGAAGTTTTACATGGGACAAACCCTAAATTGGATTTGTACAAGACAAGATGTATCACAGGAGGGTGGAAATCTTCCTATCCTGGCTGAGAAGGGAAGATCCTTGATAGGTGATAGCAAACAGTCAACTAAACTGTCACCTCTTGTTGTTGTTGTTTAGTAGACCTTATTTTTTAGGTTCATTTTTAGATGCACAGAAAAATTGATCAGGAAATAGAGTGCCCATATATTCCCTGCCCCTACAACTGCTTAGCCTCTCCCACTATCAACATTCCACACCAGAGTGGCACATTTGTTATAATGAATCATTATCACCCAAGGTCCATAGTTTGCATGAGGCTTCACTCTTGGTGTTGGTCATCTTATGGATTTTGATAAATATCTAATGACATGTATCCACCATTGTAGTATCATACAAAATAGTTCCGATGCACTAAATATCCCCTGTGCTTCACCTATTTATCTCTGTCTCCCCACTAACTCCTGGAAACTACTCATCTTTTTACTGTTTCCCTAGTTTTGCCTTTTCCGGAATGGCATATAGTTGGAATCATATAGTATGTAGCCTTTTCAGATTGGCTTCTTTCACTTGGCAATATGCACTTAAATTTCCTCCGTGTCTTTACATGGCTTGATAGCTCATTTGGTTTTAGTGCTGAATAATATTCAATTGTCTGGATGTACCACACTTTTTTTACCCTCTCGTCCACTGAAGAAAATCTTGGTTGCTTCCAAGTTTTCACAGTTATGAATAAGGCTGCTGTAAACATCCATATGCAACTTTTTGTGTGGACATGAGTTTTCAAGTCCTTTGGGCAAATTCCAAGGATATGATTGCTGACTCACATAGTAAGAACATGTTTAGACTTATAAGAAACTGCCAAATTGTCTCTCTTAGTCTGTTTGGGCTGCTATAACAAAATACTATAAACTGGGTAGCTAACAAATACCAAAATAACAGAAATTTATTTCTCACAGTTCTGGAGGCTGAGAAGTCTAAGATCAAAGCAGTGGCAGATTTGGTATTGGGTGAGAGCCTGCTCTCTGGTTCATAGATGGTGTCTTCTGGCTGTGTCCTAATATGGCAGAAAGAACTTGCTAGCTCTTGGGTCTTCTTTTTTTTTTTTTACAAGGCTGCTAATTCCATTCATGAGGGCCCTGCTCTCATGATCTATTCACTCCCAAAGATCCCACTCCCTACCATCATCATGGGGGATAGGATTTCAACATATGAATTTTAGGGAGACGTGAGCATTCCCTCTATCATACTGTCTTTCAAAATGTCTGTACGATTTTGACTTCCCACCAACATTGCTCCACAATCTTGTCAGCATTTGGTGTCATTAGTGTTTTGGATATGGGCCATTCTAACAGGCATGCAGTAGCATCTCATTGCTGTTTTAGCTTGCAATTCCTTAATGACATATGGTGTTGAATATCTCTTCATATGCATGTTTGACATTGGGATATCTTATTTGATGAGGTATCTGTTGAGGTCTTTTGCCTATTTTATTTAGTTATTTGTTTCCTTATTTTTGAGTTTTAAGAGTTCTTTGTAAATTTCAGATAACAGTTCTTTATCAAATATGTCCTTTGCAGGTATTTTTCCCAGCTTGTTTTTAAATAAAATCAGACCATATCCTTATACCAAGGCCTGATTTGGGGGGATCTAGTGGGGAAATATCAGGATATTATGTGTTGACCACTTTCTGCAAACATCAGTAAAGTCTTATCAATGACAAACATCTCTCAAATGTGGCCTACCTGAAAGGCTAGTGGTAAGGGAAGAAAATTAAAGCTTTTCTAAGAAAGATACATCTTGCCTGTGTCCAGAAATCCAATGTGGTTGAAACCTGTATTCTCGGCACCAAGCTAAAGTAAGAGGAATCAAATCAGGGTGAAAACGTGGTTAGATACAAGACTGAGATCTGGGGATGTTTGATTCTTCAGTCTCTCAGTCTCCAACATATCCTTTGGGGCTCTATTTATTGACAAAGTTGGCAACTACCACCATTGTTAAAACCATTCCATGAAGTATAATGTGGGGTAGGGGAAAGGAGAGCTGTTCTTCTCCAATCCAGGCTACAGGTTTGCACTGCCAAGATGCCCTCTCCAGGTCGAATGCTGAAAACTTACAGAATGGACAAAGCACTGGAACTTGTTGGCATATGACAGAATCCCTCAGATTAAGCTCTTAATGCAAGAGTCATAACTAACCAGATCTGTGGAACTGAACAAATATAAGTCAACAGAGGCTAACAAACTTTAAGAGATGTATTCCGGGATAAATTCCAAGCCTATTACTTAAGAAAGCAAAAACCAGAATGACATGAACCTGGGAGGTGGAGCTTGCAGTGAGCCTAGATCGCGCCACTGCACTCCAGCCTGGGCAACACAGCGAGACTCTGTCTCAAAAAAAAAAAAAAAAAAAAAAGAAAGAAAGAAAAAAATAAGAGCAAAAACCTGCAAAAATACACCCCCTGTTGCAAATCCCAACCCTTAGAACTTACACCAACTGGAAACAGACTAATACAGTGCATCCCTCAGAAAGCGGGTTCTCACTGGTGCCCATCTTAGCTAAGATCAATGGTTAGCTTGCAGGACTGGGGAAAGCCAAGTTGGTTGATTTAGAAACTTGCTCTACTGTCTTGGCAGGATATAGTTGCTATCCTGGTTTAGCAGCATTTATTGATGCAACAAAGCAGTGTCCTTTGAATTTTGTTTCCCCGTTTTCCCATTTGCAAAAGGAATTTTTATTATGACGTTTCCCCTCCATTATTTTACACTGGGAGTATAGAGGATGAATAAATACGTCATTTAGTCCAGATGCCATTAACATAAAGTCTAGAGAGAAATGTGCATCTCCCAGAGATCCTGGAACTTGTATGCAAGAACTGGTGCAACTTGAGGCTATCTCCCTTCCTAGAAGAGAAACTCTATGTATTTTTGGTTGTATGCTGATGGGTGAATTGTATTAGTGGGGAGAATTCTGATGATTGTTTATATGAGGAAAAAGATGAATGTGGAAGTTGGGCTGCTGAGAGACGCACTTGGTAGATATCTACAGTTTTGGTCTATCCAGTATCCATTCTTCTTTTTGGTATTCACACTTAGATTTATCTTTGAGGGAACCACCTTTCCTTATTTCATTCATGAAATTTCAGTGGAACTGATTCTATCCCCAGGTCCAGTCAGAAGCATTATTGGCTTAGGAATGGCAGGTAACCCAAATTAATCCAGTGAGAAAGAGTCAGCTCTGGAAGATTTGTTAGAGTCAGAAAAGATCACTTCCTTTCTCCTTCTTTGCTAACATGGTAGACTATAATCCTGGACTATAATGGCAATCTTACTCCTATTTAGGAAGAATCTGCTGAGAATGAAGCCAACACTGAGACATTTCTGATTTTATCTCTCTCTCTTTTTTTTTTTTTTTTTCAGACAGAGTGTCACTGTATTGCCCAGGCTGGAATGGAGTGGTGTAATCTTGGCTCACTGCAACCTCCGCCTTCTGGGGGTTCAAGCGATTCTCATGCCTCAGCCTCCCGAGCAGGCGCACAACACCACGCCCGGCTAATTTTTGTATTTTTAGTAGAGATGGGGTTTTGCTATGTTGGCCAGGCTGGTCTGACACTCCTAGCCTCAAGTCTGGTCTGCCTGTCCTGGCCTCTCAAAGTACTAGGATTACAGGCATGAGCCACCGCACCCAGTCCTGATTTTATCTCTTGATCATCTGGATTAAACTGTACCAGAAGACACTCCTGGGACTTTTGGATTGCGCAAACAAATAAATTTTTTCTTTTGCCTGAGTAATTTTGTGCTGGATATCTGTCCTGGCTGATATAGTTATGGCTGATATGTTAGACTGACTCTGTATTTAAGTGTTAGTAGTTAATTCCTAATTAATAGACTATTAGATATCTTACGTTCAAGTATATATCCTTTTTTCTTTGTAATTTTGTCAAATCTTTTAAGTATTCATTTCTGATTCATTTCACCGAACTCTGAATTTTCTGGAAGGGGTTGGAAAAAGGGTTGTTATTTCCCTAGTTTGCATGCTTCAATCAGACCAGGTGTTGACAGCGGTGTCTGTGTCAATGCGTCAGTGACTATGCCCTGCCAGTTACTAAATATTTTGAATATCATATCTAATTGGTAGGGGGACACTGTTCTAAGTTGTTCTTTGAATATATTTTTTGTTTGTGGACAATGATCTTAATATAACTGACTCCCAGATGGCTTCAAGTGTAGTTATAACTTTAATCAAATAATAGAAGAGTATGGAATTTTACCTAACATTTAAATCCAGAATAAAATTTTGCAAAAAGAGCTTTGTATGGAGCTCAGGAGGGCTCGAGCAAACCACTAGTCCTAATGTTCTGGATCTGTAAAATAAGAAGTTACTATCCTTCAAACTCTAAATTTTTATGATTCCATTTGTAATAAGGAGAAACAAAAGTGAAAGCACTATGTTAAAAAAAAAAGCTTAGGGTCACTTTAGAACATAGCTAATTCTGGGAAATCAGGCACATCTCAGATTTGATAAGGAAGTGGAACACATAAGCATGCAAATGCTCACAGGAACACACAAATAAACACATATACAATGGAAAAAAATCATTGCAGCATTGCAGGCTGGTCTCTAACTCCTGACCTTGTTTTATTTAAACATGAGGAAGGTATGAGGGAACCCAGCATGAAACAGTGTTACTGGCATTTTTTTTTCCTTCTGAGATTTGGACCTTAAGTACATGAATCCTTTTCAGACTACGCCAAGAATACTTAAAGCAGATTTTGCCAGTTAATCTAGGCACACGCAGGCTTAAGTCTTTCTCTATTTGCTTACTCCAGTATAAATACATTCTAGAAGTTATTTTTTGTTGTTGTCGTTCTTTTTTGCTAGTTTGCTTGTTCTTCTCTGTTAAGAATTTTATTGATGATAACTTTTAGTAACTTGAGGAAAATTTTGAGTATTCACCTTTACTATGGAGTTTTTCATGAACATAAGAATTTGGTGATATCAATTTAATCATAATTTAAAACTCAGAGTACATATTACATCCCTCTTGACTTATTCCCCACCTACCTGGAGTCATTCTAAAAATCAGAGATTAGCCACTATGCAGTGGGGTCCTTTAGCTTTTCAGTAATATATATTTAAAACAATAAGGAACATTCTCATATGAATTTGTGTTTATTGTTGTTAACAGACGCACTTGGAGATTGGGTGGGAACTTTCCTAGCTCTACCTTCTCTGTGTTTCATCCATTGCATCACTTGTGATTATTGAAGGACTTCCCTTCATATCCTTTTATATTCTGATTCCTTATAAAACCTGAAGATAATTTTTTTTAATTTTTTTGTTTTTTTTTTTGAGACAGAGTCTCACACTGTTGCCCAGGCTGGAGGGTAGTGGCACGATCTTGGCTCACTGCAACCTCTGCGTCCTGGGTTCAAGCGATTCTCATGTCTCAGCCTCCCAGGTAGCTGGGACTACAGGCACGAGCCACCATGCCCAGCTAATTTTTTGTATTTTTAGTAGAGATGGGGTTTTGCCATGTTGACCAGGCTGGTCTTGAACTTCTGACCTCAGGTGATCCGCCTGCCTCAGCCTCCCAAAGTCCTGGGATTACAGGCATGAGCCACCGCTCCTGGCCTGAAGATAATTTTTAAAAGTCACTGACTCCACTCGCCAGATTTCTCTTTGGTTCCAAGATTATGTAGCCACTTTGAATAGGAGCAGTGAGAGAGGCCATCCTCGTCTTGTGCTAGTTTTCAAGGGGAATGCTTCCAGCTTTTGCCCATTCAGTATGATGTTGGCTGCGGGTTTTTCACAGATTGCTCTTACTATTTTGAGGTATGTTACTTCAATACCAAGTTTATAGAGAGTTTTTAACATGAAGGGGTGTTGAATTTTATCAAATGTCTTTTCTACATCTATTAACATAAGCACTTTTTTTTGTCTTCTGCTAGCTTTGGGATTGGTTTGCTCTTGGTTCTGTAGTTCTTTTAGTTGTGATATTAGGTTGTTAATTTGAAGTCTTTCTAACTTTTTGGGTGGGTGTTTAGTGCTATAAATTTCTCTCTTAACACCGCCTTAGCTGTGTCCCAGAGATTCTGATATGTTTTATCATTTTTCTCATTAGTTGCAAATAACTTCTTGATTTTTGCCTTAATCTTATTATTTACCTGAAAGTCATTCAGGAGCACGTTGTTTAATTTTCATGTAATTGCATGGCTTGGGCTATCTTTTTAGTCTTGATTTCTATTTTTATTGTTCTGTGGTCCAAGAGTGTTTTTGGTATGATTTGGTCCTTTTGCATTTGCTGAGGATTGTTTTATGTCCAATAGTGTGGTTGATTTTAGAGTATGTGCCCTGTGGTGATGAGAAGATGGATGTTCTGTTGTTTTGGGATGGAAAGTTCTGTAGAGATCTATGAAATTCATTTGGCCCAATGTTGAGTTCGGGTCCTGAATATCTTTGTTAATTTTCTGCCTGAGTGTTCTGTCTAGTACTATCAGTGGAGTGTTAAAGTCTCCCACTATTCTCGTCTGGGAGTCTAAGTCTCTTTGAAGGTCTCTAAGAACTTGCTTTATAAATTTGGATGCTCCTGCATTGGGTGTGTATACATTTAGGAAAGTTAGGTCTTCTTGTTGAATTAAAACCTTGATCATTATGTAACACCCTTCTTTGCCTTTTTTTAAAAATCTTTGTTGGTTTAAAGTCTGTTTTGTCTGAAACTAGGATTGCAACCCCTGCTTTTTCCTCATTTCCATTTGCTTCATAGATTTTCCTCCATCTCTTTGTTTCAAGCCTATTTGTGTCATTGCATGTGAGATGGGTCTCTTGAAGACAACATACCACTGAGTATTGCTTTTTTATCCAGTTTGCCACTGTGTACCTTTTATTTTTTATTTTTACTTATTTATTTATTTATTTATTTTTTGAGACGGAGTCTCGCTCTGTCACCCAGGTTGGATTGCAGTGGCATGATCTCAGCTCACTGCATGCTCTGCCTCCTAGGTTCATGCCATTCTCCTGCCTCAGCCTCCAAAGTAGCTGGGACTACAGGTACCCACCACCACGCCAGGCTAATTTTTTTGTATTTTTAGTAGAGACGGGGTTTCACCATGTTAGCCAGCATGGTCTCCATCTCCTGACCTCATGGTCCGCCCAACTCGGCCTCCCAAAGTGCTGGGATTACAGGCGTGAGCCACTGTGCCTGGCCTACTTATTTATTTATTTTTTAGACAGAGTTTCGTTCTTGTTGCCCAGGCTGGAGTGCAGTAGTGCAATCTCAGCACACTGCAACCTCTGCCTCCTGGGTTTAAGAAATTCTCCTGCCTCAGCCTCCCAAGTAGCTGGGATTACAGGCACCTGCCACCATGCCTGGCTAATTTTTTGTATTTTTAGTAGAGACAGGGTTTCCTCAAGTTGGCCAGGCTGGTCTCAAACTCCTGACCTCAGGTGATCCACCTGCCTCGACCTTCCAAATTGCTGAGATTACAGGCATGAGCCACCATGCCTGGCCTCTGTGCCTTTTAAGAGGGGCATTGATCCCATTTATATTCAAGGTTAGTATTGATACATGTGGATTTAATCCTGTCACTGTGTTGTTAGCTGGTTATTATGCTGACTTGCTTGTGTGGTTGATTTATAGTGTCACTGGTCTGTGTACCTAAACATGTTTTTGTATTGGCTGGTAACAGTCTTTCCTTTCCATATTTAATGTTCCTTTCAGGATCTGTTGTAAGGTGGGTCTGAACTCCCTTGGCATTTGCTTATTTGGCTATTTCTCCTTTGCTTATTAATAGAGTTTGGCTCCATGTCCCTACCCAAATCTTATCTCCACATGTCGAGGGAGGGACCTGGTGGGAGGTGATTGGATCATAGAGGCAGTTCCCCCCCACCAGTGCTGTTCTCATAATAGTGAGGGAGTTCTCATGAGATCTGATGGCTTAAAAGTGGCAGTTTCCCATGCACACACACTCTCTCTCTCCTGCTGCTATGTAAGATGTGCCTTGCTTCCCCTTTACCTTCTGCCATGGTTTTAAGTTTCCTGAGGCCTCTTAGCCATGCATAAGTATGAGCCAATTAAACCTCTTTCTTTATAAATTACCCAATCTCAGGTAGTATGCTAGCAGTGTGAGAATGAACTAATACACTTAAGAAGCTTAGTTTGGCTGGATATGAAATTATTGGTTGAAGATGTTTTTCTTTAAGAATGTTGAATATAGGCCCCCAATCTCTTCTGGCTTGTAGAGTTTCTGCTGAGAGGTCTACTGTTAGCCTGATGGGATTCCCTTTTAGATGCCCTGCCTTTTCTCTCTAGCTGCCTTTAACATTCTCTCATTTCAATTTTGGAAAATCTGACAATTACATGTCCTGGGGATGATCTTCTTGAGTAGAATATTGTACAGGTTCTCTGTATTTACTGAATTTGACTGTTGGCCTCTCTGGCAAGGTGAGGGAAGTTTTCATGAGTGATATCCTAAAATGTGTTTTCCAAGTGGTTTGCTTTCTCCCCATCTCTTTCAGTGATGCCAGTGATTTATAGATTTGGCCTCCTTACATAATCCTATATTTTCTGGAGTTTCTGTTCATTCATTTTCATTCTTTTTTTCTTTATTTTTGTCTGGCTGTCTTGTTTCAGAGAGCCAGTCTTCAAGTTCTGAGATTCTTTCCCCAGCTTGGTCTATTCTGCTGTTAATACTTGCGATTGCATTGTGAAATTCTTGCAGTGTGCTTTTCAGCTCTATCAGATCAGTTAGGTTTCTTTTTAATACTGGCGATTTTGCCTGTCAGCTCCTTTATCATTTTATTGTGATTCTTAGTTTCCTTGGATTGTGTTTTCCTCTTCTCCTAAATCTCAATGATCTTCATTCCTATCTATACTCTGAATTCTATTTCTGTCATTTCAGCCAACTCAGCCTGTTTAAGAACCCTCATTGGAGAACTGGTGCTATTGTTTGGAGTACATAAGACACTGGTCATTTGAGTTGCCAGAGTTCTTACATTGGTTCTTTCTCATCTCTGTGTATGGGTGTTCCTTTAACTGCAGCATAGATTGAGTACAGTCAGAAGACTTTTTTCCTGAATATTTTCACAGGGCTGAGGCTTTGTGCGAGGTCTTTATTTGCAGCTGACTTCTTATCTTTGGTTTTACAGGGCGGGTATGTTAGTGAGATACATCTGTTGAGATAAGCATGTGTTTTTTTGTCTTCTGCTAGCTTTGGGATTGGTTTGCTCTTGGTTCTGTAGTTCTTTTAGTTGTGATGTTAGGTTGTTAATTTGAAGTCTTTCTAACTTTTTGGTGTTGAAGCTGCGGGGTGTGATCCAGTAGGTGGTGCTTAGGCGCTTCATGGAGGCCAGTGGGTGATACAATTTGAAGACATGAGATTCAAAACTGAGAGGCTTTAGGGAGGACAGAAGGAAATGAGGGGTTTTGTGAAGTAGTGGTCAGTAGGTAGACTCTTTCCCAGTCATGTGACTCCTCTATATTTCCTCATGGTTGCAGCTGGGCTACCTCTCAATGCTCTGAAAGTGTGGACTCCTCTCCCATTTGAGTGCTGGCTACAGATTGAGACTTGGCACTCCTAGGCTGCCCACCACAGCTCTGGGGAGATCTCAGGGTTTATGTTTCCTCCCCAGCTTGGAGGCAGCAGAGAGAAGGACCTTAGCAGTGGTTGTGGCTGGGGGTCTTTTACTTGTCTCCTGGGGGCTCCACTCCACAGAGATGCAGGTCAGCAATTGCTCAGTGTGATAGGCCCAAGATGGGTGATCTGTACTGTGGGTCCAAGCTGGGGGGTTCCCTGGTGACAAGCAGCAGGGGTGGATGGGACCTGTGGGAGATGGACTGGTCTCCTCTCCTTGGGTTAACTGCAGCTTGTTGGGGGTGTGGATGAGGCACTTAGGGTCTTTGCTGTTTAATTAGTCTAAAGGTAGTAGGGGTAGTACTACTACAGAGGCAGTGGCAGAGAGGCTTTTGGTTGCCCCTGAGGGCTCCAACCCCAAGAAATGCAGAGTCACTGTTACTGGGAATGTTCAGCCAGTGAGGTGGGTGGCTGCACTGCTGGTGTGAGTTGGAGGCTCCACTTGTTGGGGAGCAGGGGTTCAAGGGCTCACTGAGAGGAGATAATGGTCTCCTCTCCATGTGGTCACTGTGGTGGAGAGACTGTCATATACCTCTGAGAGCTTTTCCCCAGGGAAACTCCAGGCCACTACCGGTGGGTTTGCTCAGCTGTGGGTGACGTGACTGTTCTGTGGTCATGAACCAGGGGCCCTGCCTGGTGAAGAGTAGCGGGTGGGGATTCCCAGGAAAGAGAAACTGAACTCCTTTCCATATGGTGGCTGCGGTGCACTAAAGATACCAGTGTAGTGACTGGGACCTTTGTTCCTTCCCCAGCCTGAGGTCTGTTAGGGCAGTACCACTGCAACTGCAGAGGCGAAGGTTTGTGGGTTCACTCTGGTATTTATTTCCTCTTCGAAGAAATGCGGGGGTGCCTCTGATTGAAGTGGTCAGGCGGAAACAGGATGGTGGTGCTGGAGTCTCAGGTCGGGCAGCCCTATGCAGTGAGGACTGGGACTTGTGGGGAACAGTCTGACCGCTTTTCTAAGGTGGGCGCTCTGTGCTGGGGGTCTGGACCAGCCCCTGGTACTCACAGAGGACTTTTCAGAGCCTGGAGACAGTAAGGGCAAGGGCTGCAAGACAGCAAACATCACACCCCCCACCCTCTCACCCCCCAACCCCCAAACACTGGGAGCGCTGTCCCAGAGAGTTATGGAGCTGCTACTGGCTCAATATCCCTGGCAGGGGGTGGGTGGAGACCCAGGCCAGGAGGACTCATCCAGTGAGGAGAAACAGGTTTGGAGACTTGTGTAAAAAAGCAGTCTGGCCACTTTTCCACAGGACAGCCATGTTGTGCTGGGGGGTCCACTCCAGTCACTGATGGATCACCTTGCACTCTCTAAAGCCTGAAGGCAACAAGGACTGAGGCTGTGAAACAGCAAAGATGGCCGCCTACCCCTTCCTCTGAGAGCTCCCTCTCAGGGATGTGTAATGCTGCTACCAGCAGCTGGCTAGAGTTCCAAGCCAGTGGGTCTTATCCTGTGACCTCTGAAGTGCTATGGAAGTGAGGCCTGCAGATCATCGCTGCTCAGCCCCCTGGATTCAGCCCCTTTCATAGGAGTAGGTATGGGGGTCTAACCTCCCACTTGGCTGGAGTAGCAGTTACTTTTGCCAGGAAGCCAGGATATCTAAGGCTCCTGGGGCTCCGTGTGTACCTGAGCGGCTGCTCTGCCAAGACTCCCCATAGCTCTGTGTATCTGACTGAAGGCCCTAGTGGAGTGGGTTCATGAGGGGATCTCCTGACCCAAGAGTAGCAACGATCCATGGGAGAAGCATTGGTCCGCAGGGTCGCTCATTCACTCACGGCTTCCCTGGATGGGGAGGTTCCCCTGGCTCCATGTTTCTCCCGTGTGGGCGGTTGTCCTGCCCTGCTTTTCTCCATTCTCCATGGGTCAGGTTGTTTTCTTGATGAATTCCAACATGTGTATCTGTATGTTTCGGTTGAAAGTGCAGTATTTACTCGCCCCATCTATTTCTCTCTGTGAGAGCAGTACACACTAGCTGCTTCTGGTTGAGCGTAAGAAAAATAAATGCCCTTTTAATGTGTTTGCTAGAAGATAGAAAACATTGCAAAGAACAGAGTAGAATTCATATTCTTAAAAACAAATATGAAAACTTATTCTACTTTCCTTCTTTACCAATGAAAATAAACATATTTATTGTCCTCAATGCACTTTTTTCTTTGAAATAATAACTCCTCAGAAAGACCGTTGCAGTTAAGAATATCAGCTGTCACACAGAGCTAAATCCTTTTAATTGTGAATTTTTTCCCCACAAAGCATGATGAACTACGTCTTGACAGGGCAGGCAAAGTATTAAAGTAAAATATTTTTCCCCACATTTTATTTTTCTTTTCTTTCTTTCTTTCCTTTTTTTTTTTTTTTTTTTTTTTGAGATGGAGTTTCACTCTTGTTGTCCAGGCTGGAGTGCAATGGCGTGATCTCAGCTCACTGCAACCTCCACCTCCTGGGTTCAAGCAATTCTCCTGCCTCAGCCTCTGGTGTAGCTGGGATTACAGGCACACGCCACCACGCCTGGCTAATTTTTGTATTTTTAGCAGAGATGGGATTTCACCACATTGGCCAAGCTGGTCTCAAACTCCTGACCTCAGTGATCCATCTGCCTCAGCCTCCCAAAGTGCTGGGATTACAGGTGTGAGCCACTGCGCCCAGCCCCCATTTTCTGAGGTGAAATGAAGGAAGAGTTAATCATTCATGCTCCTTTTCTTGGGTTCAGCTGCCATCCTTACTTACCTCTGATGGAGGACTAGGGATTTCTGGGACTTGAACTCCTGTTATAGAAGGTCAGATTAGCCTTAAGCTGAACAGCAGCAGCTACCTGGGCCTTTCTCCCCTGAATAAAAGTTCTGAAGATCTAAAATGAAAATATGAAAGGAAAGAAATTATCAAGTTCTGTCTACTAAATATCTCAGTGGATTTCCTACCTCAACTGGTAGATTTGTCTTAAGGCCTTTGTTTGGAGTGTTTTCCTACAAGTCTCAAAGTCTAACAAAAGCAGGCGTTCCCGGTCAAGCTCTGCCAAATTCACCACGTGACCTAGGACCTGAAGTGAACTTTCGTTTCTCCTGTTCTCTCTCTTTCCGACCTTCCCTCCCCGCCAAGGCAATGCAGACAGGGACTCAATATATTATTTTGAGTTCTCCATAGGAAAAGAATTATTATTAAAACAATAAGCTCTCAAGATAAATACCTTTATATAATGTATATACATTCATATATACATGAGTATATACTAGCTTTCATATCTGTATTCTTTTTTTTCTTTCTCACCCAGAACTCAAGAAGACATGCCTGTATCCCTTTTTTTTTTCTCTTTTGAGATGAAGTTTCACTCTTGTTGCCCAGGCTGGAGCGCAATGGCGCAATCTCAGCTTACTGTAACCTCCACCTCCTGCATTCAAGCAATTCTCCTGCCTCAGCCTCCTGAGTAGCTGGGATTACAGGCGCCCACCACCACGTCTGGCTAATTTGTGTATATTTAGTAGAAATGGGGTTTCACCATGTTGACCAGGCTGGTCTTGAACTTCTGACCTCAGGTGATCCACCCGCCTCGGCCTCCCAGTGTGCTGGGATTACAGGCATGAGCCACCGCACCCGGCCCAACATGTCCGTATTCTCAAAGCTATAGAGGTGTCTTTGCTATTTTGTTCTCTTAGGTAAGAACCGGGTCCTCACCTTACACTTTATTCCTCAGGTGAAGAGACTCTGTGTGTGTCCATTCAGGGAAGCATGAGAGCATTTGATTTCAGCTGAGCAGGTTTAGTCATCTAGGAGCTGCTCTCTTAAGTGTTTAACACAATCGTTAACTAACTAAAACTTGCAGGAAATTAATCTGGAATTTCCCAGTAATTACATGTTTTAGATAAGTTTTTGAATTGAGTCCAAGATGATGTGATAGTGCATGTTCATAATTAACTAAGAAACTGAGAAAAGCTTTCTTAATCTAAAAACAAAGCCAAAAATCTTTCCATGCAAGGAAAGAAAATCTTAATTGATTAACTCATTAATAGAGCAGGGAAAAGAAAACAAAAGCAAAAGCAAAAAAACTAACTTGAGATATAGCTGAACTCATAATGTGTATTTGTTTTTATTTCCAGTTGCTGCTTACCATTAGCTGTGCAAGACCAAAGGATTTTGTGCTTTCTCTTGCCTAGTAATTGTTCAGTCCAAAATTTAACCATGTTGTTTTTGTGTTATTACCAGGAGCAAGAGGACATGTGTATTGGTGAGAGAAGAGGGGTGAGGAGTCAGGGATAAGATGAATCTGATTAACTTCAGGGGTTATTAGAATAAATCTTGTAGGCTTGGAGAATCTTGTAGGCTTGGAGAATCTAGAGTTCTATGAGAAATGGTAAGCAGACTTCATAAATCCTGTCTGCGTTGCTGCTATGATCTTGGCCTTCCCCTGACATACTCCCAAGAAATAGAAACGAATAGAAATAGAAATCTAATAGAACTAGAAATAGAAATATTTCCCAAGAAATAGAAAGTAAAACTGACAAAGCCAATGCAAAGAAATCAGTTCGGAAGCTGTTAATTTTCACACGATCTGTGTTCAGTAACCGCCCTCTATCGGCTCTCCTGAATAGCACACTATATGGGACGGAGAATCTGAAAGGCCTTTTTGCTGGTTTTCTTACTAACAGAGAGTTCATAAACCAGGATCTTCTTCAGCCTCCAAGGTAAGGAAATGTGTGATCTCCAAGCTCCCTCTTGTATGTATTGTGAACGCCACTGTCAGAAGAGAAACACCAAAGTTATTCACCTGGAAATGTTGCAGTATGAAGACCATGTATTTGATGGAGAGGTTATTTAAATGGTAACTTTGTTAATGAATTTCTTTGCTAACTTTCCCTGCTTTATTTTCATGCCAAAAACCAGAGAGGTACAGAGAACAGAACTCGGCACCACAGTCTAAAAGTGTTAAGTTTCAGGCACAACACTGCTGTTTTTGAGCTGTGGGTCCTCAGACAAGCCATTTTAGCTTTCCGAGCCTCAGTTTCCCACTTGCCTGCTTCTTCACCACTTCCTGGGGTGATAAGAGAAGACCAAATGATATGTTTGTGAAGGTGCTTTGCCACTCATGTACCCTATGCAGACCCTATTATT
This sequence comes from Homo sapiens, assembly GCF_000001405.40. Classification (NCBI taxonomy): domain Eukaryota; kingdom Metazoa; phylum Chordata; class Mammalia; order Primates; family Hominidae; genus Homo; species Homo sapiens. The sequence continues at coordinate 172,596,837 of NC_000003.12, forward strand.
AGTAGTACTTTATAAAAGTAAGACATCATTTTCTCATTTACAGGACTGAGGATTAGAAAGAATAATGCTGGGTTTCTGGCTGCCTCCGCTTTTGAGGGCCTAGGAGGCATTCTGACCTAAAGAGAGTAGGCAGTGGAGTCAGACATAAATGTAAACACTGTTAGTGTGACCTTTGCAGATCATCTGTCTGCCCTGTGCTTCTATTATGCTATCTATCTGCAAAGTAAAGAACTTCTTTACAAAATGCCTCATACAAGTGTGAATACAACAAACAAGCTCCATCTCTAAAGTTCTTCATAGAAAACAGAATTATAAGACGCACTCAGTATCCAAGGATAAATGATACCAGGAAAGGGCCAAAGTTAATTAATCCTCTTACAATAAAGAGCATATTTCAAGGTAAATAATAAAAATAATTATCTTAAAATTAACAAAATGTATATGGTTATTTGCAACTATGCATTAATTCTTAGCCCAAAGAATGTTGAGGAGTTGATTTGGCATGAAGAGGACACATTTTCTTGGACAAAATTATAGGATGGCACAGTGCGACTTTGTTTAGCTCATACTACCTTTCGGTAACACCATCAAAGGGGATCTTTTTTACCAAAAACATTTTTTAAATCAAGGGTTTTCATCAATTTTCCAAAGGGATTAAAAAAATTCCCTGACATTTAAGCTGGTACATTTTGGAAGCATTTCTTGTATCATCATCCTTACCCATTACTCTTCTTTAGTGTTAATTTATATGATTCCTTGTCCGTTTTTTTTCTTCAGTTTTTACCTAGTCTGTTGACACGTGACTATACTTGATGTTGGAGCAGTTCTCCAACATTATTTTCATCAATTTCATGAAATTCTGCATCTTTTGCAAGAATCACAACTCCACTTTGCCATCTATTTGACTTGTGTTGTCAGATGTTTACAGTATTCTACAAGCAATAAGAGTTAGGCTGAAAAAGTTTTGACTTGTGATCAGGGATAGTCATTCAAGCTAAGCAGAGAAGATTGTTTGAAAGGGGAACAATTTTATGGGTGTTCGGTTCATGAGTGAATACTTTCATGTAATGGCAAATATTCCTATATAATCATGTTCTAGAGGAATTTAAGTAATGAAAACTCAGATAAGAAGGAGTCTCTGGGCCAGGTGCGGTGGCTCATGCCTGTAATTCTAGCACTTTGGAAGGCTGAGGCAGGCGGATCATGAGGTCAGGAGATCGAGACCATTCTGGCTAACACGGTGAAACCCCGTCTCTACTAAAAATACAAAAAATTAGCTGGGCGTAGTGGTGGGCACCTGTAGTCCCAGCTACTTGGGAGGCTGAGGCAGGAGAATGGCGTGAACCCGGGAGGCAGAGCTCGCAGTGAGCGGAGGTTGTGCCACTGCACTCCAGCCTGGGCAACAGAGCGAGACTCCATCTCAAAAAAAAAAAAAAAAAGGAGTCTCTGATAATGCTTTTTTTTCTATCCAAGAATTCCTTTTTGCATTTTTGGTTCAGTTGTGGTGGATTTAGGCTGAACCACATTCACTCTCATATAAAGGACCTGCATTTGCTTGTCAGTTCCCAGCCTGGGTTAAGGGGTGCTAACTTTGCCCGATAAGATCAATTCATTTCCATGGTGTTCTAAATCAATGTCTCTTAAACTCCATTCTGTGCTATTCTCTTTATTAATATTCTGCAAACATATGTAAAATAATGTTATATTTTAGTAGTTTGATGTCAAACAAAATTAAAAGTGATGATTCATTGAATTCATTATTTCTACCAGTAAAGAGAACAGTTAATTTTTTGTTATGTAAAAAGCCAGTAGTTTAATTAAAACACACCACTAAGAGTGAAAGACTGGGAAGAGATATGATTTGTATTATATATTTGTATATTATATAAACTTATATAGTCAGATACCATCTAACACTAGTCAGAATGGCTATTACTAAAACGTCAAAAGACAGCAGATGCTGACAAGGTTGTGGAGAAAAAGAAATGCTTGTACACTGTTGGTGGGAGTGTGAATTAGTTCAGCCATTATGGAAGACAGTGTGGCAATTCTTCAAAGACCTAAAAACAGAAATACCATTCAACTCAGCAACCCCATTACTGGGTAATATACCCAAAGAAATAGAAATCATTCTATTACAAAAACACATGCACATGTATGTTCATTGCAGCACTATTCACAATACCAAAGAGATAGAATCAACCCAAATGCCCATCAGTGATAGACTGGATAAAGAAAAAGTAGTACATGTATACCATGGAATACTATGCACCCATAAAAAAGAAAAAGATCGGCCGGGTGTGGTGGCTCACGCCTGAGGAAATGGATGGAGCTGGAGGCCATTATCTTTGACAAACTAACACAGGAACAGAAAACCAAATATTACATGTTCTCACTCATAAGTGGGCATTGAACAATGAGAACACATGTTCTCCCCACAAATCATATCTTCTTATATATAGTAAAGTGGCAAAAAATAGCAATGAGTGAAAATTCTGTTGCTGAGAAACTTATAACTTCAAATGTAAACATTTTTAATTCTTTTTTTAAATCACAAAATCAGAATATTTATTTTGTTCTTTTTCATATGACAGTGTTAAAACATTCCTACTACAGCAATATTGCTCTCCAGGAGCTTACAATCTAAAACAGTCAACGTTATTTGTAGACCCCAGTAAGTAAGGCATTATATCAAATGCAGACTTTTTTTTTTTTTTTTGAAACGGAGTTTTGCTCTTGTCGCCCAGAGTGGAGTGCAATGGCACCATCTTGGCTCACTGCAACCTCCACCTCCCAGGTTCAAGCGATTCTCCTGCCTCAGCCTCCAGAGTAGCTGGGATTATAGGCATGCGCCACCACACCCAACTAGTTTCTGTATTTTTAGTAGAGATGGGGTTTCACCATGTTGGCCAGGCTGGTCTCAAACTCCCGACCTCAGGTGACCCACCCCCACTTGGCCTCTCAAAGTGTGTGAGCCACTGTGCCTGGCCCAGACTTTGTATCTTTTGACGAAGTAGCTGGAGAGGGCAGGATCAAAATTAAATGACATGAAAATGTATTCCCCTCCACCTGCTCCTTATAAGGAACCCCTTATGACTAGAACCCAAGACCAGTACCCACAGCCTGAAAGGGAATTTCAGACAACCCTACCATAGAAGTAGTAAAGAAACCTTAATCTCTAATCTCCTAGTGGATACAGTGAGGATTCCATTTGTGGAAAATGGGGATGCTGGGAGTTCCTCCATCACAGACTAGAGATAGCACCCAAGATTCTGTAACTCTGGGAAGGGTACCAGCCTTATAGAAATTCCAGTGGGGCAACTGCCTCTTGAAGCATGCTTAAAGTCTCTAACAGGTTTATAAATGCCAATTTCTGATTGGTATTTATATCCACAGCATACCACTGTCTACTGCATCAGGAGGGCTATGGAGATTTAATACAGTAGACATGAGATTTAAAAAACTGAAAGAAAAGGGAAAGGACAGCAGAGTAAGGGGGCCAAAGAAATGGTGATGCAGTCTTCTAACAGATGTGAACAGGGAAGGAGGAAAAGAGAAGTTTAGATCCAAAACGAACAAAGAAGTCAAGCATTACATTCCAAATGAACAGGTATACAGAAATGAAAAGTTAATGAAATCATTGTATTATCACAATCCAAGAGCTCAAGATGGAATTTAAGCTTTTTCTCCTTCACTGGCTTCATCCTTTGGCAGCCAGTCTAAGAATCTCTGAAATTCATATTTTTCAGGAGATTATCTCTATCCTGAATACCTGTATCTCTATCCTGGATACCTGAAGACCTAATCTAAACTGCTATTTATTTATTTCTGTGAATTTCAAAGTCATAACATTTTGTCTTAACTGGCCTTGAATTTTCTTTTTTTTCTTTCTTTTTTTTTTTTCTGACACAGGGTCTTGCTCTGTTACCCGGGCTGAGTGCAGTGGCACAATCATGACTCACTGCAGCCTCGACCTCCTGGGCTAAAGCAATCCTCCTGCCCCAGCCTCCCAAGTAGCCAGGACCACAGGTGTGCACAACCATGCCCAGCTAATTTTTGATTTTTTGTAGAGATGGGATCTCGGGATCTCACTATGTTGCCCAAGCTGGTCTCAAACTTCTGGACACCAGCCATCCTCCCACCTTGGCCTCCCAAAGTGTTGGAATTACAGGCATGAGCCATTGTGTCTAGCTGGCCTTACTGATAAGGTTCTGTTGTTGGGAGGGTATTCTATGGCATTTCATGCTGAGATTTGTAGAGAGCACCAGTGTCACTATTAAATATTGATTTCTATTGATTTCTCATGGTTTTATGATTCCTTGGCTTGGGACAACAGGCTGTATTACACCTTTGTGTTGGACTTTGTCAGTACCTGTCATTCACCCTGCTCATGTTAAGTATCATCATTGCAAGGTGATGGAATGAGAGAAAAGCACAAATCTCTAAATGTTGGTTCTTGGATTTTAACCTCAATCCAGTAGGCTCATAACCCTCTCTTGGTTCAAAGCCATACAAGTATACATTCCTTGCTCTCCAATATTTAACTAGCACCCACAGAGAAAGTACAAAGGCCAACAGGATAGCTGTGTTTTGTTTCCTCTGCCCTGAGACACAACTAGATCTAGCACCAAGGAGGGCAGGATTTAACAGATCAGCACACAACGAATCAATTTAAAGAGGTAGTTTGAACCGGGAATAAGACTGCAGTGTAGACTACGACTGAACAGAATAAAAATCCTATGTGGTTCTTCATTGAGAACAGGGGTTTTGGCCACTTGTAATGTAATTAAACCCCCACTAATAACAAAGATGCTTATATAGAGGATGAGGATCTGCTTGGTGTGAGCACAGTTGTTGGAGCCTGAGGAAAATCTGGCCATCAGCAAACCACACCCTGAGTCTTTCCAAAGAGAAAGCTCTGCTTTTGCCCTTCTGGCTCATGACTGGTAGATTTACAGTGCAGATCAAAGGTCTCTCTCAACAATCAAACTACTTCCAAGAAACCATAGACCTTTAAAAATAAAGGCCAGTGATTTCATACAGGCTAGTAAAAATACTTTGGCTATAGCCTTTCACGGATGTGTGCTTGGGCACACATACACACAGGTGGAGCTCAATAAATGTGGAATGATTAGGTATTGATCAGCAGTATTTATGTGTGAGTTAAGTCCAGACACACCATCTACCAATCAGCAATTCAAATTTCCATGCCCAATACCAGACAGCCAACCTACCAGGTAATATTTCCTTAGCTTAAAGCAGAGATTCTCAAAGTGTGGTCCCTTGTAACATCAGCAGGAACTCAGAAGTGCCACTTTGGGGGCTTTTGATTAAGGCCCAGCAATTAGTGTTTTAACAAGCCTGTGATTCTGATGCACACTAAAGCTTGAAAATTACTGTTTTAGAGGCAGACATGTGAAAACAATAATGGGAAAAATAATTCAAACTCTTTTGCTTCACTTCAGCTGGAACAAAAAGTAAACTGAGAATGGTTTTACTTAAAAATATCTATTTCTATTTTCTCAAATTGATTGTCATTTTTTGATTGGCAAGTTCATGCTAATCAAAGTGTTAAGTGGGAATGCAAGTCAATGAGTCAGCCATCCAAGAATACACACTCTGCAAGCTGTAAGTCTGTATTTAGTTTCAAACCGCCCCTCTGCACACTACAAAGATTTTGGTATAACGCATTGCATCTAGAGAAAGGCACAATGTATTTCCCACTCATTGAATCCAAAAGCTGGACCTTCTTTTCTTTTTTTTTTTTTTTTTGAGATGGAGCTTCACTCTTGTCGCCCAGGCTGGAGCGCAATGGTGCCATCTTGGCTCACTGCAACGTCCGCCTCCTAGGTTCAAGTGATTCTCCTGCCTCAGCCTTCTAAGTAGCTGGGATTACAGACACCCACCACCACACCCAACTAATTTTTGTATTTTTAGTAGAGACGGGGTTTCACCATGTTGGCCAGGCTGGTCTCGAACTCCTGCCCTCAGGTGATCCAGCCTGCCTTGGCCCCCCAGAGTGCTGGGATTACAGCTGTGGGCCACTGCGCCCGGCCTTGGACCTTGTTTTCTAATGTTCTAATGTTAATGTTCTAATGTTCTAATGGTTCTAATGTTAAGTTTGAGTTCTGGGTTTAGTTGGGCGAGAATTTCCCTCAGCTGCCATCAATCCTGGCTGAAGTTAACCCCTTTCCATCACTGACCCAGGGCAAAAAAAATGTACTTACTATTTGTTAAACATCCAGAAAGGAAGCAGATGATAAAGTCAATGAACAAAAAGCTACATGGATTAGATAAGAACATATAACTTGGCTCTAAGATGATGGAGAAGGAAAAGACATCTCATGGGTGGCTTCTCCTTAAGAGAAATGGGAATCTCAGCTTATTAGAAAAAACAATTTGGGAGTTTACTGCTTTAGCTCAGAGACTGTAAACTAAACCTCTGTTGAGCAGGTGTGTGTGTGTGTGTGTGTGTGTGTGTGTGTGTACGTGCACAAAGAGGAGCAAGAAGGGATGATTGGAGCAGGAATCACGTCTTCAAGTCTTGAACAGCTTCCCACTGCAATCGATAAGGCCATGCCATAGAGTTTGACGTCAATGGCAATACTCTGTGATGTCCACTACCACTGCCTTCTTCCAGCTGAAGAGGAAGTATCTTGTACCGGCCCCTGCTGTTACTGCAATGCAGAGGTACCCATTGTAGGTCATGAAGATGAGCATGAGGAGGTAGCTTATGACCACCTGGATGATGTGCAGCACTGTTTGCAGGAGGTGAGGAAAGCTCAGCATCTGCTGCCCAACAGTTTTGTGTGTCTACATAAGGATGGTTCCATTTGGTCCTGGGACAGGCATGGAATTGTAGCAAAAGCTGACTTGTGACTTACACAGCAGGCTCTCTTGGGCTATCGAGTCCTTCATAGAACACTGCTAGTATAATCACTGCCACAAAAGCTCCAGCCATTTCTCCAGCTGTATTGATCACCAAACTGGAAAACAGTAGTTCCACATTCTTAAAGCCAAAGTAGAAGGTCATAGGCATCATCATCATCATGTTGCTGTCTCCTCCACCACGGGAGTGTGAGGCTGAAGTGGTTGGGTGATGGTGAGGACGTTGCATGGTACTGTTGGAGTCCATACAGCTCATCCCCGTATGATGGGAATGATCCATTTTTTCCAAGAAAAGTTGAGAGTCAGCAGAAGATTCTTCCCAGGTCAAGTCCAGCCACTAGAGCCTCTCTCTCCAAATCTTAGCCTGTCACCCCCTCACGACTCCTCGAATGGCCCCTCCACTTCTACCCGGCTCGACATGTCCACGACCACCACCGAAGCCGAGGATTTCCCGCCCCCAATATTTGTAATTCTTAACAGTGTAGCATATTTACAAAGATTGGAAAGACATTTAATAAAATGTTAATGATAAGACTGTGGGTTGTTTTATTGCCTTTATGCTGTTCAATATTTTTTCAGTTTTCTATGATGAACCTGTCTTAATTTATAAACTGAAAAAAAATACGTGAACGGTGTTTTAAGGCATCTGCTAAAATGTCAACTAAAAATAGTATCCCATTTTAATTTCAATTCACCGATTCATAATGTTAGTATTAAATATTTTTCTTTGGTGTACTTTTTTAAATAAAAGAGAATAAAAATTATCTGTTTGGATTAATAATCTTGGATAATAGTCACCGAAAGTATGTATTTTTTCTTTTATTTAAACCATATGCAAGATTGTAGCATTCTTGCTTTATTTTAGAGCAGTTTAGCCTGTGTTAAGCATTTCAACTTGTCTGGCTGCTTGAGTTTATAGACTTAGCTCTGCTACTTTCCAGCCCATAACTGTAGAAAACTACTTCCCCTCTCTAATTTTTAGTTTCCTTTCAATTGGAATCTTAATAGCGTCCATATTATAAAGGTCATAAAAAAGCAATTTATCATCATTGCCATGATATATGATTAACTTGTTTTTGATTTATGTTTCTGTGGGTCTAGCAATATTATTTAAAGAGAATTTTGAAGGCTGTTTTACGTTAAAAATTATTTATGTTCTGAGGTCTGAAAAGTTAAATAGCATAGCTCTAACCAACTCCTCTACCACCCAACATTGAAAATCAGTAATAATCTACATTATCTAATCATTATAACAAATTCGTGAAGTCGGCAGAGTGGTATTTTCATTTTACATGTATGGACACTGAGGCCCAGAGAGGTGAAAGAAGCCCCAGAAGACACAGAGGAGGCCAGAGTAGAGCAGAGGGCTTCCGACTTGCAGACCACACTGACCACAGTGTGCACAAGCAATTGCTTTCCAGTTGAGTTTAACTTTTAATTCCAATATGGCCTCTCTGGTTTCTCCTCTGATCTGTGCTGGGTCCATCATTCCATCCCAATCTCCCACACTCTTCCCATCAACCAAGCTGTGCTGTACAGTGAACTTTCCCACCAACAGACTTATGCTTATATTGGTGCTTTGCCAGAAGTGCCTACCATCCTTCAAGGCTAAAATCACCTTCTTCTTCCTTCATAAAATATTTCCTAATTTACTTCATTTGGGGCTCTGTTTAATTTTACCCTGTTTTAAATCCTGATAACTCTTTGTTTTTCCTCTTACTCAGCACTTATAATGCTCTGTTTTGCATTTCAGTTATTTGGGTGTTTGTCTTCTCTCAACACTTCTACTATTTATCTTAAAACCCCTGAAACTACCCAGCATAAAAATGACTTAAAATGAGAGATGCCTAATGGACATGTATTGAATGAATGAATGAGTTAATGATGTAGCAGGCAAATAAGTACCTATTTTAAAATATTTATTTCTGAAACAAGCTTGGAGGCACACATCATAATGTATAGAAATACCTCCCTTTGCCTGAGTATTTTAATGTAGCAAGTGACTTACAGATTCTATCTGCATTTCATTCATGAAAATTTTTTCAGGTTTTAAAAATAGGAGTCTTGGGCTGGGCGCAGTGGCTCATGCCTGTAATCCCAGCACTTTGGGAGGACAAGGCAGGCGGATCACGAGGTCAGGAGTTTGAGACCAGCCTGGTCAATATGATAAAACCCCATCTCTACTAAAAATACAAAAACTAGCTGGGCGTAGTGGGGCACGGGCCTGTAGTCCCAGCTGCTCAGGAGGCTGAGGCAGAAGAATTGCTTGAACCTGGAAGGCAGAGGTTGCAGTGAGCCGAGATCTCGCCACTTCACTCCAGCCTGGGTGACAGAGCAAGACTCCGTCTCAAAAAAAAGGGGGAGTCTTGTTCAATTGTCCTTGGGTCTGATCTCATTAATATACTGAAAAGGAATTTTCTTTCCTTTTCTGGCACATTAACTCCTACAGACCACAGAGATGAGGCACTCAGAGAGAATTTCCTGAATACCAAACAGATCAGAGAGTGAGGGCTGGAGCCCATCGTTGACAGGTACGCAGCCAATCTTTTCCTGGTGGGTCAGGGTATTCCTGCCCAGGGCAACATCATATTCAGCTGATTTGTTTCACAGACTGCTCAGTATGGTTAGACAGACTGGTTGAGAATGTTGTCTTACATATGACATAGTGGATGATATAATAGTATCTAATGCAAAATGTGATTCTAGAAATTGGGAGAAATATGCATTTCAAGTTTTAATGCTCGTCATCATTTCTTAAGACATGAGTTTTATGTGGTTTTAGATAGCTCTAAGTGGTTTATGCAGTGTATCTTATCTATTAAGAAGTCTTGAACTTCTTGAATATGCAAACTAAAGGTATAAAAATCAATTTGGATTTTCGAACCAAAGAACCTGTGTTTTTGAAAAATAATTTGGGAAGGGGAGAAAATGGTGAGATGTAGGTCAAAAGATACAAACTTATGTAACATTAATAAGTCTAGAGATCTAGTATATAGTAGAAGGATTATAGCTGATAGTATCGTATTATTAACTATATTGTATATTGAAAATTTGCTGAGAGAGTTGATATCAGATGCTCCTATGACAAAAAAGTAACTATGAAAAGTGAAGGATATGTTAATTTGCTTACTTACAGCAATTATTTCACTATGTACACGTGTAACAAAGCATTATGTTGTATACACTATATACAATACAAATAAATAAATAAATAATTTGAAAAATAAATTTTATGTTTACAATATTTTAATTTAAAAAATTAGAAGGCCTGGCTGGGCGTGGTGGCTCACATCTGTAATCCCAGCACTTTGGGAGGCCAAGGTGGGTGGATCACCTGAGGTTGGGAGTTCAAGACCAGCCTGGCCAACATGGTGAAACCCCATCTCTACTAAAAATACAAAATTAGCCGAGTGTGGTGGCACATGCCTGTAATCCCAGCAACTCGGGAGGCTGAGGCAGAGAATCGTTTGAACCCAGGAGGCGGAGGTTGCAGTGAGCCAAGATCACGCTACTGCACTCCAGCCTGGGCAACAAGAGTGAAACTCCATCTCAAAAAAAAGAAAAAAAAAACTCCATCACAAAAAAAAAGAAAAAAAAATTAGAAGGCCTTAGCTTTTTTGGATGATAAGCTACTTTTTATTGTCTGAAATTCTTAGTAACCCCAATGTAAATGAAAGTCAACTTTGCCAAAAAGGAAGTGCAATGGGAATTTCCAGAACATTACCAGCAATGAATGTGTCAGAGGCTTGGAGGTGAGCCAGATGAAACTAAATTAACAGATGGGTGATCTCAGAATATTTGATGAAAAGAGTTTTTAACAGGATCTCCCCCACATCCCAAAACAATCAATGTAGCTCTTAAAGTTGGAGCTTGGGATCAGAAAACTCACCTCCTTTGGGGTAGAGTGATGTGATGAAAAACTATAGACCTTACAGTTAAATTGATCTGTATTTAAATCCCCCATCTCAGCTGCTTTCCAGCTATGCTGTGGTGGTAAATTTTATGTGTCAACCTGATGGAGCCATGGGGTGCCCAGACATTTGTTTAGGCATTATTCTGTGTATGTCTGTGAGGATGTTTTTAGATGAGATTAACATTTGAATCCGTAGACTAAGTAAGGCAGATTGCCCTCCCAGTGTAAGTGGGCCCCATCCAATCTGTTGAAGTCCTGGAGAGAACAAAAGACTGAGTAAGAGAGAATTCACACTCCCTGCTTGACTGCTGGGACATCAGTATTCTTCTGCCTTCAGACTCAGAGTAAACCTTACACCATCAGCTCTTCTGACTCTCAGGCCTTCAGACTCAGACTAGAACTGTTACCATTGGCTCTCCTGGGCCTCCAGCTTGCCAAATGCAGATCTTGGGACTTCTCAGTCTCCATAATTATATGAGCGAATTCCTCAAAATAAATATTTTTATTATACTAAGATAAATATCACATACACACACACACACACCCCTATTGGATCTGTTTTCTCTGAAGAACTGAGACTAAAACATATGTGATCTTGGATAAGCTGATTAACCTTTCAATTTCTGGATTCAAAAAGCACAAAATATTGCCGATCATTAGAGAAAATATTTGTGATGTATTTTATAAGTATCTATAAGCATCCAATATTTTAAATCTGTTATTGTTACTGTTTCCCTCAGGATTTAGATAGCATTGTTCCAAAAAATAATTATCTTGCTGTTTGTATTTTAGGTAACATATAAAATAGTTTGTAAATGGAAGGTGAGTCAAAGTAGCTTAAATGAAATATTTTTACAGTATGTTTAGTGTTCTTTCAAAAGCCCCGAAGTGTATCTATAACTTTAAATAATAAAGTCTTGAAAATTAAACCAAACTTTGACATTAGTACTTTATATGCACCATGTTCCTTTATTATGTGCTTTGATTTTGAGACATCCTGAATCTTCACTGGGTTTCTGTTGTACCAAACTTGGCAAGCTAAGCCAAGGAGGAAATAGGACATGTCTCTCTCTTGATGGACAATAAAGTGTTCCCTCTTGTTTACAGCACTCTTTCCCTATTAGGTCATGCCAATTTGGAGACTGACAAAAACATGGCATTGAGACTACTTAGAGGGCATTTTAATCTGGCTACATAGAACTTCATGTGCTATTTGGGGCACACATTTATTATGGCCCCAGTGAATAGAACAAATCCTGACCACGAGGACCAATAAAACATCGTTTATCACATTACACTGGTATCCAACTCCCACTCAGCAAAGCTGGAACAAATAATCCAAGCTTGATTATAATTGACCAGGCTATGGACTCAACCCTAGAAATGAATCTTGGGGGTAGCTGTCACTGAGCCCATGTAGGCAACAGGGCCAGACCCAAGTGAAGTTGTGAAGCTGTGAATATTGCTTGTTGGTGACCTTCATCTCCTATTTGTATCCTATTTTCCTCCTTTCCAGGCCAACTTTTATTATGTTCCTCGTTTCTTTTTTGTGGTCTCTCTAAATGCTTTATTCCTGTTGCAGTTAAAGCTGATTTATACTTTGGAATCAGTGGCTTACTATTTTACCCTTTCAGTTGTATTTGTCTTTTAAACAAAGATGGCAGCTATAGAGCAATGCCTAGCATAAAGATGCCAATTAGGAGACTTTTAGTTCCATCTCTACCAATTAGTTGGTACGTAGCCTTTCTGGGTCTAAGTTACTTCTCTGTAAAGTCAGGTCAATAAAAATTACCTCCCAAGTTACAGTGAAAATTAAATAATAACAACTGTAAAAAGTGTTTGGTAGGATTTCTAGTTTCTGGCCCAGCATGTAAGGAGGTTGGAAGACACCACTCTATCCTAACAACAAGTAAAAAGCTAAACTTAAAAATCAACAGCTCCTCCTAGATCCACAAGATAAGTGAAGTCACAGGGAAAATCACTGCCCCCAAAATTTGAGTGACCAAGAGGTGAATACAGAGAATCACAACGCGGCAAACAGAAGCTCGCAAGTAGCCACCTCCGCCAGAACCAAAGCCAGAGTAGGAAAAATCTGAACTGTAATTGACGAATTGCTGAAAGTTCAATGTAAAGAACTGATATGGTTCAGCTGTGTCCCCATCCAATCTCATCTTGAATTGTAGCTCCCATAAGCCCTACATATCATGGGAGGGACCCAGTGGGAGACGATTGAATCATGGGGGACGGTTTTTTCTGTGCCGTTCTCATGATAGTGAATAAGTCTCACAAGATCTGATGGTTTTATAAAGGGCATTTCCCCCGCACACACTCTCTTGCCTGCCGCCATGTAAGACGTGCCTTTGCTCCTCCTTCACCTTCTGCTGTGATTCTGAGGCCTCCCCAACCATGTGAAACTGTGTCAATTAAACTTATTTTTCTTTATAAATTACCCAGTCTTGGGTATGTGTTTATTAGCAGCATGAGAACACACTAATACAACAACTTTGAGAATTAAAAATTCCAGGGGGGCCCAGCTGGGGGAAGGGGGCCTACACTTTTGTTTGTCTTACCTGCAAGAGATCTATCAGGTCAGCAGAGTGAATATTAGAGAAAAATACCCCTGTGCTTCTGGCAGGAAGAGGGGAGGTAAAGGAACCATTTTGAAATACACTAGAGCATTTTGTTCTTCTTAACAAGGTCTTTCCTCCCGATAAATAATTTAACAAGAGCCAAACCTGCTGGGCTTTTATCAGAGCCTGACTGACCTGGAAGAAAGAAAATGCCCAACTCCAGCCTGCTCTGGCCACCCTGTTCCACCAAAGGTGAGGTTGGGAGGACTGAGAAGTATGCATGTAGTTCACAATCTAGAGGCATAGACTCACTAAAAGAGCCCAATCACAGGACTACAGAATGCTTCCTACCCTGCTTACACCTTACTACCATACTACTAAGGTCTTGTTTATAGCAGTTTCTTTCACCCAGTACTTAGTTTTCTAGCTATCTAGAAAAAAATACACGACATATTAAAAAGCAAAATAAAGAGTTTAAACAGGCAGAGCAAGCATCAAAACCAGAATCAGATATGGCAGGAATGTTGGAATTAACAGGGAATTTAATACAACTATGATTAATATGCTAAGAGCTCTAATAGATAAAGTACAAAGCATGCAAGAACAGATGGGCAATGCAAGCAGACAGATGGATATCCTAAGAAAGAACCAAAAAGAAATACAAGATATCAAAAACACTGTAACAGAAAATGCCTTTGATGGGCTTATTAGTAGACTGGACATAGCAGAGCAAAGAACCTCTGAGTTTGAGGATATCTCAATACAAACCTCCAAACCTGAAAAGCAAAGAGAACAAAGACTGAAAAAAAGAGAATAGAATATCCAAGAACTATGGGACAACTATAAAAGGTGTCACATATGAGTAATGAGAGTCTCGGAAGGAGAAGAAAGATCAAACTACCAAGACCCAGCTATATCTTGTCTATAAGAAACCCACTTTAAATATAAAGGTAATATAGATTACAAGTAAATGGATGCAGAAAGATATACCACACTAACAATAATCAAAGGAAAGTAGGAGTGCTATATTCATTTTAAACAGAGCAGACTTTAGAGCAAGAAAAATTATCAGCAATAACTGATAGCAAAATATTAGCAGATTGCTAAGGATTTTTGCATGTGTGTTCCTGAGAGATATTGGTCTATAGTTTTCTTTTTTTTTTTTTTTTTGAGACGGAGTCTCGCTCTGTCGCCCAGGCTGGAGTGCAGTGGCGCGATCTCGGCTCACTGCAAGCTCCGCCTCCCGGGTTCACGCCATTCTCCTGCCTCAGCCTCCCGAGTAGCTGGGACTACAGGGGCCCGCTACCACACCCGGCTAATTTTTTGTATTTTTAGTAGAGACGGGGTTTCACCATGTTAGCCAGGATGGTCTCGATCTCCTGACCTCGTGATCCGCCCGCCTCGGCCTCCCAAAGTGCTGGGATTACAGGCGTGAGCCACCGCGCCCGGCCGGTCTATAGTTTTCTTTAATGCCTTTGTCTAGTTTTGGTATTATGGTGATGGTGGCCTCATAGAATGAAAAGGAAAGGTGGAGGTTGCAGTGAGCCGAGATCACGCCATTGCACTCCAGCCTGGGCAAAAAGAGCGAAACTCCTTTTAATAAATAAATAAATAAATAAATAAATAAATAAATATTATCAGATTGAATTCAACAATGTATAAAAAGAATTATATATTACAACCAAGTGAGATTTATCCCGGGTATGAAAGGCTATTTCCACATTTAAAAATTAATTAACGGGGCCAGACGCGATGGCTCATGCCTGTAATCACAGCACTTTGGGAGGCTGAGGCAGGTGGATCACGAGGTCAGGGGTTTGAGACCAGCCAGGCCAACATGGTGAAACCTCATCTCTACTAAAAATATAAAAATACACACACACACAGACACACACACATTAGCCGGGTGTGGTGGTGCACACCTATGATCCC
This sequence comes from Homo sapiens, assembly GCF_000001405.40. Lineage (NCBI taxonomy): Eukaryota > Metazoa > Chordata > Mammalia > Primates > Hominidae > Homo > Homo sapiens. Next base: position 172,612,140 of record NC_000003.12, read on the forward strand.
AGCTACTCCAGAGGCAGAAGCAGGAGAATTGCTTAAACCCAGGAGGGTTTAAGGTCATTTACTATGAAGAGACTTCAAAAAGTTCATAGAAAAATGGAACTTAAAGATAAAAACAAAAATATAAACTTTATTTCTCAATATAAGCTCCATCAAGGTCAAGACATTTTTGTAACCAATAATACCCACCATTTAGTTCATCCCTAAAGAACTGAGGGTCCTGAGAATTTAACCATGTCACTGTCACCATTTTTACATTATTAACTGAAGAAAAATGGCTGCCCTTTACAGATTTTTTTTTTTTTTTTTTTTTTTTTTTTTTTTGAGACAGAGTCTCGCTCTATCGCCCAGGCTGGAGTGCAGTGGCGCAATCTCGGCTCACTGCAAGCTCTGCCTCCTGGGTTCACACCATTCTCCTGCCTCAGCCTCCCGAGTAGCTGGGACTACAGGCACCCACCACCACGCCCAGCTAATTTTTTTGTATTTTTTTTTATTAGAGACAGGGTTTCATCGTGTTAGCCAGGATGGTCTCGATCTCGTGACCTCTTGATCCTCCCACCTCAGCTTCCCAAAGTGCTGGGATTACAGGCATGAGCCACCACGCCTGGCCAGATTTTTTAAAGTTAGGAAATAAAAGAAGTCAGAAGGAACCAAGTCAGAACTCTAAGGTGGATACCTAATTATTTCCCATTTAAAATCTCACAAAATTGCCCTTATTTAGTGAGGGTTATTCCTCTGAATAAGCAGCAGTATTGTTGTGGTGGAGAGGGACTTTCTGTTGAAACTTGCCTGGATATTTTTCTACTAAAGCTTTAGCTAACTTTCTGAAAACATTTTCATATGTTATCATTTTTTTGCCCTCCAGAAAGTCAACAAGCAGAATGCCTAGCACATCCCAAAGACTATTGCCATGACCTTGGCCCTTGACCAGGCTGCTTGTGCTTTGACTGCACCACTTTCACCTCTTGGTAGCCACTGCTGTGATTGTGCTTTGTCCTCAGGATCACACTGGTAAAGCCACAGTTCTTCTCCTGTTACAATGCTTTGAAGAAATACTTGAGAATCTCAATCTCACTTTTAAAAAATTTCCATTGAAAGCTCTGCTCTGGTTTGCAGCTATGCGCATGTTGCTTTTCTGGCCAGAAACATCTGTGGCTGGTGGCGCCTTTGCCTAGGTTTTGCTCAGGACTGCTGGGCTCATTCCACCCACTTGGCCTGGCAGGCTGCATTCAGCTCACGCTACCAGCCTGGACCTCACCCCTCCAAGGAGACTGCAAGTCAGGTGTGGAATGGTGAGGGGTGTGTGAGTGAGCATGGGGTCTGGCCACTGCACAGTCAGACACGCTGTTGCTACCATGGGGCAGGCAGCTCCAGGTGCCAGCATGGGTGCCAGCTCTCTGCGAGCCTGCAGCTGTACCAGGCGCACCACAAGTAGCTTCCCCAGCTGGCACTGGGGAATGAGTGGTGCCCAGTAGCTTGGAGATGCCAGGAACTGCAGGGCCCCAAAGAGGGAGTCATAGTCCTGGCTCAGGATGCTCCCAGGTCTGGGGTCCCTGAAGGGCCGCAGCTTTTCTCTCCTTCTCTTTGCCCATAACATGGCGAGCCAGGGTCTTGTCTCAGCCCTGTTTGTGGGGCATGTTTCAGCCCTGCTTGTGTTACAGCTCTTTTAGCCTCGCCATTTGGTGGGGCCCAAGTTCTTGTCCTGCAACCAGGAAGAATGAGGTATGCAGACAAGTGGAGGGTGAGCAAGACAAAGAGGAGCTTTATTGAGGATAGAACAGCCCAGAGGAAACCCACATGGGGTATCTCGTTTCCTCAGCCAGGGTGTCCTGATGAGTGTTCAGCTCCTAGCAGAGAGGAGACCCTAGAGTAGGGAGCTCCTCTTTGCAGGCAGGTCATCCCGTTGAGTGTTCAGCTTACAGCAGAGAGGAGGCCCTAGAGTGAATAGCTCCTCTCTGCAGACAGGCAGGCCCATCATCTCTGCAGCTGTCAGCAGGGAGAAGGTCCTAGAGTGGGTGGCTTCTCTCTGCAGGCAGGTCCCCTCATCTTCTATGATCTTCCTGTTCTCTCCCCAAGTCTGGCTGAGTCTGGGCTTTTTATGGGCCTCAGAGGGAAGGAAGTACTTGCTGATTTGTCCATGGGTGGCCATGGGCAGGCCCAAGGAAAAGCACCACAAGTTCCTCCTCTGGCCCGAGGGACTGGCGATGGTGGCCCCAGCCTTCCAGCCCTCCCCGGCTTAAAGGTGGGGCTTCACTGGGGACCAGCCCTCTTCTGCCCTGGAGCCTGCTTCCTGCCACTATTCATGGTGCCCAGGCTGTTCATGCCAAAGAGTATCTGCAGGCCAGTGCCAGGCTGTCCTCAGCACTACCTTGGCCTCCCTCCCATGCTTGTCAGTGCACAACATCAGGAGGGGGCTGAGACAGCAGGAAGCTGGCATGTAAGTGCTGCCCCAAGCATGTGCACACCCAGCCAGGCTGTGAAAGCACCCAGTCTTGGTGTCATCCTTGCTCTGAGATCAGATCAGGTGATGACAGTGGGGAGAAATCAGGCAGTGGGAGCAGTCACTTCTGAACCTCAAGGGGTGGAGCAGGGAGGGATAAGGGGAAATTTCCTGGGCCCCCAAGAGCACAGAGATGCCCAGGTCCAGAGTGGCAGCAGGGCGGCTGCAGCTGTACCCAGAGAGCTTCCACCCCACCAATTCCAAAGGGGCGGGCTCCCACTTGTCCCTGGCTACCACCAGCTCCATGGAGTGTGCAGCCCTGGCCACACTTCCTTACAGTCTGGGGCAAGGGCTCCAGGTCCTCACTGGGTCCCTCTCTGGCCACTCGCTCTGGCCTCTTGCTGCACTTATATACTTGGCAGCTGCAGGGCACTGTGGTCCCTGGCAGTCCTGCCTGAGGGGCAGGTTGTGATGCAGGCACTGACTCTGGCTTGAGGTGGGGTGGGGGTGTGGCCAAACTGCTGTGGCTGTGCCCTGGCTCCAGGAAGGACTACATAGCTCATGGGAGGACCAGGGCATCCCTGGCCCTGGCAGCAGCAGCAGGCCTCAATGTGAGCAGCATGGGTGAGGGGCAGCGGTGGGGGCGCCAACACCTCGGGGCTTCCTGGGAGCCACTGCCACACCCAAGCATGCTGTTCTCTCGCTGGCAGGTGGCTCAGCCAGCCCCATCATGGTGGCCCCTAGGGCAGTGGGCTCCTGGGAAACTCCCAGGGGCAGACTCCAGGGATTGTCTGCCTCCTCCCTGCACCCTCCCCATAGTGGTGGCAGGCAAGAGTGGTGATGCAGGGCCAGGGGTCCCACCACCACCACTGCTGCTCCTGTGGCCACTGCCCATGTCTCCTCACTGCAGCCTGGGCCGCTTGGGACGGCCCGCTGCTGCCAGCACAATGATTTTGGCACCCATTGAATGGAAAGTTTGCTCAACTTTAATTTTTCAATCACATTTGTGTAAACTAAACTAATCAAGATGTCTACGGTGTCAGCTATTGTTCCTGCTGTTAAAATAGTCAGTCCGCTTCCAGTGGGGCACAAACAAGACTTTTTCTTTACAAACTGATGTGGATGGTCTGCAGCAGCGGGCCTCATATTCAACATTGTCGTCTCCCTTCTTAAAATGAGTTATCCATTTGTGAACTACTAATTTCTTTGGGGCATTGTCCCCATAAACTTTCCATGAAATATCAGTGATTTCACAATTCTTCCACCCAAACATTAACATACATTTGATATTTGTTCTTGCTTCAATTTTAGCAGAATTCATGTTGTTCTGATAGGGGCTCTTTTCAAACTGATGTCTTATTCCTTCTTAGTGCCTCAAACTAGATCCTGTTTAGACACATTACAACAAGTTAGTATGAGTTAATTTTGGTGGAAAAAAATTGAAATCCATGTGTAGTTGTTTTCATAAGATGCATTTCCCATAATATTTGTAAAGTCCCTTCATATGTTTGCAAGTCTTGCATATTGTGGTGAACAGCTGCTTTCTTTTTTAGGGCATGACTCTTTTGGAGAATACATTCACTTTCATTTTCTACCTGGTGCTGCTCCTTTTGAAATTCTTTTATGATTTCATATGCACTGATATGAGCATTCCCTATTAAATTTTCCATCTTCTGTGACATGCTTCTATGTTGTTTTAGAGGCACGCAATTCATTCCACATGCACTCATATACAGACCACAAATTTGCTGTAAACATTACTGGAGATTGAACAGCAACACTATTACATAAGTGTTTTCTTAGCCTACTGTTCACAGAATTATTTGTCAACCAGTCCATAACTTTGCTGGCTCCTTCAAGCAAATGTGGCATTAATTCATTAAAAGCTACTGGAGTTTCATCAGCTGGAAGGAATGCCAATGCAGATAAACAATGTGTTTTTATTTATTTATTTATTTTTTGAGACAGAGTCTCGCTCTGTTGCCCAGGCTGGAGTGCAGTGGCACGATCTCGGCTCACTGCAAGCTACACCTCCCAGGTTCACGCCATTCTCCTGCCTCAGCCTCCCGAGTGGCTGGGACTACAGGCGCCCGCCACCATGCCCAGCTAATTTTTTGTATTTTTAGTAGAGATGGGGTTTCGTGGTGCTAGCCAGGATGGTCTCGATCTCCTGACCTTGTGATCCGCCCTCCTTGGCCTCCCAAAGTGCTGGGATTACAGGCGCACGCCATCACGCCTGGCCAATAATGTGATTTTAAACCGATGTTTTTGTCATTGCCATATCATGTGGTCAATCCACTCATCTGAATTTTCTGCCAAATGCATTGGGCTGAACAGTAAAAGCACACTTTATTGGTGACACCTTGAAATTCACTTTTAGAGGCCTTGATTGCACCTAATTTCAAATCTGTCACTATGGTTTAGGGATTCAGTTAGAAATTAAGGATTTGGGGATTTTGACATTCGGGATGGTGGCATCTGGGATTGTGTTTTTTGGGATTACAATTGGCACCATTTCATTATCTGTGCTGGTGAACCATAGGGTGCAAAGCATTAGATGTGGGGTTCAGTCTACAGGCCCTGCAGGCTGGATATCTTCTATTTGCCCTTCCAGATCCATCCCGCAGTACTCTGCCCTGCTGTGGGCCCAGAGTCTGACCGATATGGCCTGCACAAACAAGCTACCCTAGTTTCTGTTTAGAACATGGAGGCAATGGCAGAAGAATGAAGTCAGAAAGAGAATGTATTATACCATTCTTGCATTGCTATAAAGAAATACTTGAGACAGAGTAATTTATAAGAAAAGGGGTTTTATTGGCTCACAGTTCTGCAGACTGTACAGAAAGCATAGTGGCATTTGTGTCTGGGGAGGCCTCTGGAAACTTACAATCATGGCAGAAGGCCAAGGGGCAGAGAGCATGTCACATGGCTGGAGCAGGAGCAAGTTGGGGGAGGTGCTACACACTTTTTTTTTTTTTTTGAGACAGTGTCTCGCTCTGTTGTCCAGGCTGGAGTGCAGTGGTGTGATCTCGGCTCACTGCAACCTCTGCCTCCTGGGTTCAAGCAATTTTCCTGCCTCAGCCTCCCGAATAGCTGAGATTACAAGCACCCACCAGCATGCCCAGCTAATTTTTGTATTTTTGGTAGAGATGAGGTTTCACCATGTTGGCCAGGTGGGTCTCGAACTTCTGACCTCAGATGATCCAGCTGCCTTAGCCTCCCAAAGTGCTGGGATTACAGGCGTGAGCCACCGTGTCCAGCCAGTGCTACACATTTTTAAACAACCAGATCTCACAAGAACTCACTCACTATCACGAGAATGGCATCAAGGGGATGGTGTTAATCCTTCATGAGAAATCCAAATCTATGATCCAGTCACCTTCCACCAGACCCTACCTCCAACAATGGGGATTATAATTCAAACAGAGATATGGTGGCAAAACCGAACAAAACCATATCAGAGAATGAAGTTTGGAGAACCTGTTTTCATGCCTGCTTCTCTGTTGGTTTATACGGCTGCCTCCAGGCTTTCCTTACATAGCTACCCTCTCTTAGAGTGGGGAATAATTCCCTTCTTTGTCTTACCAGGCCTCGATGAGGATGCCTGTTACTACTAGTCACAGAGCATTGTACTGCCTCTTGTTGGTTTCCTTAATTGTGCCCACATCTCTGCACAGAGTCCCTATATTAAATGCTCCTCAAATGGGCCTGTTTGAGCTTGCCATCACCTTCCCATCTGGACTTGACTTATGCTCCTCATGTGCAGGGAGAATATAATGCACCTCAGGTGGGCCTTTCTATCTTAGATCCTTAAAAAATTAGGCCGGGCATGGTGGGTCATGCCTGTAATCCAGCACTTTGGGAGGCCAATGCAGGTGGATCACTTGGGGTCAGGAGTTTGAGGGAAGCCTGGCTAACATGGTGAAACTCCTCTCTACCAAAAAATACGAAAACTAGCCAGGAATGGTGACATGCACCTGTAGTCCCAGCTACTTAGGAAGCTGAGGTGGGAGAATCACTTGAACTCAGGAGGTGGAGGTTGTAGTGAGCCGAGATGGCACCACTGTACTCCAGCCTGTGCGACAGAGTGAGACCCTGTCCCCCCCGCAAAAAAAGGAAAAATATAAAAAGCCATAATAGAAATCATTTTCTATTCATTTCTCTGAGTAATTCACCAAGTACTGTGTCACATTTTTCATAGCTCTAAACCATTTTATAAATGTTTACATACACTATTTCCACCAATCCTGTTTATGAAGCAGGTGATCATCAGTAGCAGCTTCACATAACACAGGGGCTCTCACAATACAGCAGCATAGGTCAGCAACATCACTTGAGTCCTTGTTAAAATGTAAATCATTGAGTCCCACCCCAGACCTACTGAATCAGAAACTTTTGGGGTAGGACTAACAATCTGTGTTTTAAGAAGCCCTCCAGAGGATTTGAAAACCACTGACGTAACATGATTACATATGCATTTTTATGTGAGGAACCCCATCCACTACCCCCTACACCTCCACCCCAATGCAAAGCAATATTTTTTAAAAATTCAGTCCAGTGGGTCTCAAACTGGGGTATATCAATACATCAGAATGACCCTTGGAACTTGTTCAGAATCCCAGTGCTCAGGCCCTAAACTGGACTCACTGAATCAGAATCTCTGGGGCAGCATCTTACACGTGACTACCTCTGTGATATTGTTTGGCTGTGTCCCCATCCAAATCTCATCTTGAATTCTAGTTTCCACAATTCTCACATGTTTTGGGAGGGACCCCGTGGGAGATAATTGAATCATGGGGGTTGTTTCCTCCATACCGTTCTAGTGGTAGTGAATAAATTTCATGAGAGCTGATATTTTTATAAGGGGTTTCCCCTTTCACTTGGCTCTCATCATTCTCTCTTGTCTGCCACCATGTAAGACATGCCTTCACCTTCTGCCATGATTGCAAGGCCTCCCCAGCCATGTGGAACTGTGAGTCCATTAAACTTCTTTTTCTGTATAAATTACCTAGTCTCCTATATGTCTTTATCAGCTGTGTGAAAACAAACTAATACACTCTGCTTACACCATCAGCTGGAGACACCTGGAATAGATTACAACAAGCCAGAAGTTAGAATGCATATCACCTAGAGGGTTAACTGGTTACCGCTGAGGATTGGGAACAGAGGTCCTAGGGGAAGATCCAGCTACTTACAACAGAAAACCCTTTCTCCCTATTCCAAACCTGCAACAACCTGGAATCAGTCTGAAGGCAGCCCCCCACTTTCCTCAGAGTTGTTGCAGGTTTGCAACAGGGAGAGAGGGTTTTCTGTTGTTCATAGCTGGCTCATGTTTGTGGCAACTTTGGATGCAGATAAGGGTATAATGTTTGATCTTTTTTGAGCTGCCTGCCCACTCGTGTCTCTCATTCTGAGACTCTACTTCCAACCATAGCTCCCACTAATTGGGCATATGAGCAGGACCCAGATGATTGCACTCAACCAATTTATTGGCTGGCTAGCAACCAATCAGATTCCCTCTCAAAAAAAAAAAAAAAACAAAGTGCAGTAAGGCCTTGCTACTCAAAGTGTGGTCAGCTGACCAGCAGCATTAGGGAAATCCCTGGGAGTTTATTAGAAAATTAGACTCTCTGGCCATCTAGACCTACTGAATTAGAATCTGCAATCTAACAAGGTCCCCAAGTAATTCATATGCCAGTTAACCTTTGAGAAACACTAAGTCTGGGCAGCATGGTGAGAACTTGTCTCTACAAAATAAAAATATTAGCTGGACTTGTGGTGCATGCCTGTAGTCCTAGCTACTTGGGAGGCTGAGGTGGGAAGATTGCTTGAGTCCAGGAGGTTGAGGCTGCAGTGAGCCATGACTGCACCACTGCACTCCAGTTTGGACGACAGAACCATACCCTGTTTCAAAAAATCAAAAAGCAAACAAACAACAACAACAACAACAAAAAAAAAACCACTGACTTAAGAAACAATGTTAAGTCAGTAATAGGTGCCATGCCCCATCCATAATTGGTTTGTTTTTATACATTTCTGATACATGGAGAGGAAGAGGAAATAGCCTGGGTCTTGAATTTTCTGTATCAAGCTCTCTGAGGGGAAAGCTTTCCTTTATTTTGTGATCTTGGATGTCCAGGAGATTTTTGGTTGTATCCCTATGATAAACCTCACTCTACTTAAGCTATCTTGAGTGAGTGCTTTTTGCAAGAGATAGCTTGCCAAGTGATGAACTAAATCATGACTAAAAGAAAACTAAAATGCAAATTTTGTGTCCTTTTGTAGATTTTGTACAGAGTATTAGTTATGGGTAAACCAGCTTTTCTTTCCCTTTTTAAAATAAGAAATAATAAATCATCATGAAAAATTCAAAGCCAGGTGCAGGGGTGCACACTTGGCCAGCTACTGGGGAGGCCGAGGTGGGAGGTTCACTCAAGGCCACAGGTTTGAAGCTGTAGTGCACAATGATCATGCCGATGAATAGTCACTGTGCTCCAGCTTGGGCAACATAGCCAGACATTGTCTCCAGAAAAATTTTTTTAATAAAAAATTCAAATGTTTCAGAGAGTAGCAAACTGGGGGAAAAAAGTTTTTCTTCCCTTAAGATCTCTGTTCCCAGTCCTCAGAGGTAATGAATTAACAACTTTCTGTATAACCTTTAATAATTTTCTTGATTTTTTAAAATGTTTTTGACATGGAATTTTTCTTTTGTTGCCCTGGGTGGACTGCAATGGCATGATCTCAGCCCACCACAACCTCTGCCTCCCAGGTTCAAGTGATTCTCCTGCCTCAGCCTCCTGCGTAGCTGGGATGACAGGCATGCACCACCACGCCTGGCTAATTTTGTATTTTTAGTAGAAACGGGGTTTCTCCATGTTGGTCAGGCTGGTCTTGAACTCCCAAACTCAGGTGACCCACCCACCTCGACCTCCCAAAGTGCTGGGGTTACAGGCATGAGCCACCACACCCAGCCAATCTTTAATAATTTTCATATGCACCTATAACATTTTCTTTTTTTCCATGAGCCCCAATAAAAGAAAATCAGAAAGCAGATTATCTTATCATCAATACACATCCAGGGATATATTTGACAATATCTAACATTTGACTTTGGTTTAACTCAAACCTTTTTAAATTGCCCTTCTACAGCTTTATTTTTAATAGTCCTTAGAGACAAGTAGTAGGACAAACACTGTTACTTTTATTGATTCAATATATGGTTACACTGATGTTTAAAGTCACGTCCACAGTTCTCATTGAGGTTCATTAAATAAATAGTTACGTGAAAGTTCCTGCTGTATTGCTTTAAAATAATTGAGGACATTATTCAGTAGGTCACATGTCGGGATTTTCTTTTAGAATTTATTGATAAAGAAAGATGATCAACTCTGAGAAATTAGAAGACTTCTTCCTGTTTAAAATAAAGACTGAGTCACTGACTAAATTTTCTACTTTTTGCCTTGACTGCCAGGGTCCTCAGGGCCAAACTGGAAGTTCAACCACATAAACTGATTTTTCTAGTTAGCATATTTTTGTTCATTTCCTTGGCTATGAGCCTGATATGGTTTGGCTCTGTATCCCCACCCAAATCTCATTTTTAATTGTAATCCAAATTGTAATCCCCAGGTGTTGAGGGAGCGACCTGGTGGGAGGTGATTTGATCATGGGGGTGGTTCCCCCATGCTGTTCTCATGATAATAAGGGAGTTCTCTCACAAGATCTGGTTGTTTGATAAGTGTGAGACTCTTGCCCCTTTGTGCTCTTCTCTCCCTCCTGCCACCATGTAGGATGTGCCTTGTTTCCCCTTCACCTTCTGCCATGATTGTCAGTTTCCTGAGTCCTCCCCAGCCACGCAGAACTGTGAGTCAATTAATCCTCTTTTGTTCATAAATTACCCAGTCTCAGGTATTCTTTATAGCAGTGTGAAAACACACTAATACAGAGCTACTATTTCTGTGTCACAATTTCATTATATTTTTTGTTTAATTATAAGCTGTTTCAAGTATTTGGGGGGAGTAAGAAAGAGGTTTAGATAAAATGACTTTTAAGATGGGGAACACAAAACCCCAATAAAAACTTAAATTTACCGAGATATTTACTGGCAGAGCTGGAACTGGGATTACAGTTTCCCAAATTTTAGTTCATGATATTTCCTCTCTTCTACATGAAATGAATGGTGAGGTTTTCCTTCTTAATCATTTTATGTCTGTTTTTAAAAATATGGCAGTTCCACAAACATCGTGGCTGGATGTTGTTTGCTGGAACCTGTGCCCCAGCTTTTGAAGGCCACCCCTCCCTGCCTTATTTGTTGTTTTCAAAGGCAGTTTTTCTATAATGCAGTGCTGGGTGCCTGGGGTTTGCCAGCAAACAGAATGAAAAGATAAAGGTCGTATATTTCCTGCTACACTAAACGGTCCCTCAAAAATGCAGACCACCACTGTTCTGTCAGCCTTTCTGCAAAGGGATGGCAAATATCTACCTTGAATAAAAGCATGTTAAAAAAAAATAAAACACTTTGGCAAGCAGAGAGGTGAGTCATATTTCAACAAAGGATTAATGCAAGTCCTGTTTTGTTTGTTTTGAGAACTCAGTCATTTTTTTAATCAGGTAGTTATGAGAATTTTCAATTCTATTTTATAAAAAACAACCCAACTTAATCCTGTGATGAACTATGACTTTTATTGACCTTTTACAAAAAGTACAAGAAAGCTATTGATAAATCTTTTCTTTCTTTTTTGTAAAAAAAAAAAAAGAAAAGAAAAGAAAAGAAAAAGAATCCAGATGAAACACAAAACACAAACCGCAGTGTATGGGATGGCGAACGTCGTTGACTTTCAAGGCGCCCTCTACTGGCAATGGCTTTAAATTTTTAAATGTCTATTATATTATAGGCTTTGGAATTTCACTCTTTAACCAAATAAGATTTTCAATACATTAGTAGAAAGAAAACTCATGCAGGAAAGAAAGCCCCAGATATTTTATCTCAGGAATATAAATAAGCGAATATATACAAAAGTATCAGGCATTATTTTACATATCCTGAAAACTATGCGTTGTTAATAGGAAGAAGAATGATACAGTTGGTTGTTCATCAAAGATTTATTGAGCGCTTATAAGAGGCACCATGTCAGGCATTGGGGTCACAGAGGTGAGGCTGACGTGACCCCCACATCAAGGGTCCTAGTCTTGTGAGGGAGTCAGACCTACCTGCAGACAATTACCATGTCATGTGTGGAGTGCAGTGTGAGACCCGAGGAACGACCCCTAAATCCTCCTGAGAAAGGAGTTAGGAAAGGCTCCTGGAGGAGGCTGGCAAAGAAATACAAGAACAGTGAAAAGCACTCTAAGGAGAAGGAAGGGTGTTCGGTAAGAGAACATGGCGCATGTGCGGAACACGAACAGAACCGCGGTAATAAGTTCCGGGTTGGCTAGCTGTACCACAGCACGATGTGCAGGGACGGCCAGGAGAGGATGCTACAGAGCAGCAGCTCTCAAACTTTTCAGTCTCAGGACTTTACAATCTTAAACATTATTGAGGACCCTTCCCCCTCCCCCACGAAGAGCTTTTGTTTATGTGGGCTTCATTTATTGATGTTTACTTTTTTTTTTTTTTTTTTTTTTTTTGAGACGGAGTCTCGCTCTGTCGCCCAGGCTGGAGTGCAGTGGTGTGATCTCGGCTCACTGCAAGCTCCGCCTCCCAGGTTCACGCCATTCTCCTGCCTCAGCCTCCAGAGTAGCTGGGACTACAGGCGCCCGCCAGCACGCCCGGCTGATTTTTTGTATTTTTAGTAGAGACGGGGTTTCACCCTGTTAGCCAGGATGGTCTCGATGTCCTGACCTCGTGATCTACCCGCCTCGGCCTCCCAAAGTGCTGGGATTACAGGCGTGAGCCATCGCGCCCGGCCGATGTTTATTTACTTTTAAGAAACTGTTGGATGGGCATGGTAGCATGCACCTGTAGTCCCAGCTACTTAGGAGGCTGAGGTGGAAGGATCACTTGAGCCTGGGTGGTCGAGGCTGTTTGCCAAGATTGTGGCACTGCATGCTCCAGCCTGGGTAACAGAACAAGACCCTGAGGAAAACAAACAAAAAAAGAAGGAAGGAAGGGAGGGAGGGAGGGAGACTAAAGCTGATAAATTTGAAATGTAGTTATTAATGTATTTAATTACATGTTATCTTAAGCTCTATTTTACGAAAGAAATCCTGAATTTTTCAAATACAAATTAGTGAAAAATGTGGCGTTGTATTATATTTTTACAAGTATCTTTTTTTTTTTTTTTTTTTTTTTTTGAGACGGAGTCTCGCTCTGTCGCCAGGCTGGAGTGCAGTGGCGCGATCTCGGCTCACTGCAACCTCCGCCTCCTGAGTTCAAGTGATTCTCCTGCCTCAGTCTCCCGAGTAGCTGGGACTCCAGGTGCGCGCTACCACGCCCAGCTAATTTTTGTATTTTTAGTAGAGACGTGGTTTCACCATGTTGGCCAGGCTGGTCTTGTACTCCTGACTTCAGATGATCCACCCACCTCGGCCTCCCAAAGTGCTGAGATTACAGGCGTGAGCCACCACGCCCGGGCCTACAAATCTCTTTAATGTCTAGCTTAACTAGAGACAGCTGGATTCTCACACCTGCTTCTGCCTTGGATCTGTTGCAACATCACATGTCTGTAGCTGCTGGAGGACTCCGCTGTGCACTCATGAAAGAAAAAGTGACAAAGGCAAATAACATAGTATTATGAAAATAGTTTTGATTTTGTGGGCCCCCAAGGGGTCCCCAGACCACACGTAAGGAACTACTGCTGCAGAGGTGGGCAGGGGCAAGGTCACGAGGGAGAGCCGGGCACATAACATTAAGTGGCTTGAAACCTGCCAGTAGGCAACAGGACTTGAAGCTGAGAAGTATCTTGTCAGGTGTGAGTTTTAATTCATCGTTTTTGCAGCTGTGGAGGGGATACATTTGAGGAACATGAAACTGAGGGAGACAAGTAGTTAGGGAGTTATTGCAATTGTTTGGGCAAGAAGTGATGACTCAAGTAAAACAGTGTGTCCAGGGATGGAAAAAAAAGGGAATGGTGTTGGGAAATATTTAGGAAGTAAAACTGATTGGGCTTGGTGATTGATTGAAAGTTGAAGGACTGGAGGAAATAAATAAAACTTATAATTCTAGCTTGAGTAACTAGAGACCTAAGAGAAGGTGATACAATCAAATGACATAGGGACCATATAATGCAATGGCACTTCAGGGAAGAAGGTAATGCATTTAGATTGAGGCTTGCTGCCCTGGTAGGCCTAAGGATGGCTCAGGAGAGACATCTGGAAGGAGGGTGAATGTATAAATCTCAATCTTGTGCATGAGCATATTTACCATAAAACTTGAGTTTAGGGCCCTTTATCTGAATAAGCCCCTTTTATAGGTACACAAGATGTTGCTTTTTAAAAACACACATAGGTAAAAATACTTTTTAACTGCAGTTAGTATCACTGACTCTTCCCACCACAACTTCTCCTCCATTGTGATTCTCCACGTTAGATGGCTTGGAATGGCTACAGGCATTTTGGGGATCCGCTAAGGAAAAATTGAGCTGGGGATACATTTAGCTTGAGTTTAGAAGGATATATTTATTATATGCAGCTGCTTCAGTTAAGTTATTGCTGACTTATCCAGGAGAGGAACAGCTTCCAGGAATATCCCATTCTATACTCTGCTGAAGTGGAGGGCGTATGTATTGCAATATGAACTTATTCAATAGCACTAAGCAAAATAAATTTCAGCAGAGTGGAGCAAAAACAATGTTAGAAATGTTTGGGGTCAGAGTCAATCTGTGAAAAATTCTCTCAATCATCAGACATAAAAAATGTAAAGAGAATTTTGTTCTTTTCAATGACTAATCAAAATGGAATTCTCCTCTGGAAAGAATTGTGGTGCAATAAAGATGGCTATAGGCTGGGCACAGTGGCTCATGCCTGTAATCCCAGCAGTTTGGGAGGCTGACATGAGTGGATCACAAGGTCAGGAGTTCAAGACCAGACTGGCCAACATGGTGAAACCCCACCTCTACTAAAGATACAAAAATTAGCTGGGCGTGCTGGCGCATGCCTGTAGTCCCAGCTACTCGGGAGGCTGAGGCAGGAGAATTGCTTGAATCCAGTAGGCAAAGGTTGCAGTGAGCTGAGATTGCGCCACTGCACTCCAGCCTGGGTGACAGAGTAAGACTCTGTCTCAAAAAAAAAAAAAAAAAAAAGGCTATAAACTCTTAATCACACCCTCCATTGTGTGATGGTGTCTGTCTCCCCTCTCCTTAAATCTGGGCTGGTCCTATAATTTGCTTTGACCAACTGAATATGGTGGAAGTGATGTTGAATAACTTCCAAATCTGGACCTTAGAAGACACAAAGCTTTTTGCTTTTGCATATTGAGAATGTTCTATCTTGGAATCCAGATGCCATGCTTTTAGTATTACAATTCAGAAGGGAAAGCCATGTAAAGGAGATCCAAGGCAGTCAACCAACAGCCAGCACCACTGCCAGCCTCGTAGTGAGCCATCATGGAGGTTCTAGCTCAGTGGGACCCTGAAGTTTGTAGTCACAGGCAACATCAAGTTTAGCAGATGGTCCGCCAAGCTAAGCTCAGTCCACCCAGAATTCTGAGACAACAAATGACTGTTTTAAATTGCAAGTTGCATAATAATTTGTTGCTTGGCAATAGATAACCAAAACCCTATTGCATCATGTATAATTTTAAACTCTCCTTTGGTGTATGTGGTGTGTGTGTACACACACAAAAATTTTTCTTTAATGGAAATCACATGAAGTAGAATTTTGTGATGTTGATATTTGTCAACTTCTAAAACTATGGACAATTCAGTGTTTGGGCCAGAAGGAAAATAAAAGTCAAAGGGGAGTTTTTTGTTGAGAGGACAAATTTGACTGTATTTATAGAGCTAAGAGGAAGGAGTGAGTAGAAACGGAGAGTTAAAGGTACAGGACAGAAGGGAGGTACTTTAGCAAGTCCTTGAGTGAGACAATAATGAATTGGATTAAGGACACAAATAGAAACACTGGCTTTATCCAGAAGGAAGTTAACTTCATTCTGTGAGACTGGTGGAAATGACGTAAGCAGGAGAGTTGTTACTCAGCTTAGTAAACCATTTATCTTAAAGTACAATACTTAAAATAACGTTAACCTGCAGCTAAGCAAAATAAGTATTATTTCTTGATTTCATGAATTTAACTGGAATGAAAAACATTTTCTCTATTAAAAAAATAATGAAAACAAAAAGGGAAAACCACATCTTAAAAGTGGTAGATTGCTGTTGGCCGGGCGCAGTGGCTCACGCCTGTAATCCCAACACTTTGGGAGACTGAGGCAGGTGGATCACGAGGTCAGGAGATCGAGATTTTCCTGGCTAACACGGTGAAACCCCGTCTCTACTAAAAATACAAAAAATTAGCCGGGCATCGTGGCAGGCGCCTGTAGTCCCAGCTACTCGGGAGGCTGAGGCAGGAGAATGGCGTGAGCCTGGGAGGCGGAGCTTGCAGTGAGCCGAGATCGTGCCTCTGCACTCCAGCCTGGGCAACACAGTGAGACTCTATCTCATTAAAAAAAAAAACACACAAAAAAAAACGTGGTAGATTGGCTTGTCTGGTTAAAATTTCTCAAACTCTAGGCCCGGCGCGGTGGCTCACGCCTGTAATCCCAGCACTTTGGGAGGCCGAGGTGGACGGATCACGAGGTCAGGAGATCGAGACCATCCTGGCTAACATGGTGAAACCCCGTCTCTACTAAAAAATACAAAAAATTAGCCGGGCGTCGTGGCGGGCGCCTGTAGTCCCAGCTACTGGAGGCTGAGGCAGGAGAATGGCGTGAACCCGGGAGGCGGAGCTTGCAGTGAGCCGAGATTGCGCCACTGCACTCCAGCCTGGGCGACAGAGCGAGACTCCGTCTCAAAAACAAAAACAAAAATTCTCAAACTCTAAAATTGACTTCAGGCTGGGCATAGTGGCTAACGCCTATAATCTCAGCACTTTGAGAGGCTAAGGTGGGAGGATTACTTGAGCCTAGGAGTTTGAGACCAGCCTGGGCTACATGGTGAGACCCCATCTCTTAAAAAAAAAAAATTCCGTGGAACACTTATAGAATATGTTAGATAGGTCATTTTTTTAGTGCAGTTTACAATGGTTTATTCAACATAGCAAAAACTATCTGCTGAGAAAAATTTAGAACAGACATGAGTTGTGCAAAAAGCAAAAAGAACTTCACTCAAAAGCATTTTTTGCTTTAAAATTTGGTAGTTAAAAACAGGGCTTCCTTTCAGTTGTTTCATTTTGTTTGGAAATATTTACTTTTTAGTCTTAATTATATTTGACATAACTTACTTCTTAAAGAAGAAGGGTAATAATACCCCAATTCTTATAAGTTTAATTTTTCTTGGTGAGGACTTATTCAAAATCAACTTTAAAAAAACCACTCAGGCCAGGTGCGGTGGCTCACACCTGTAATCCCAGCACTTTGGGAGGCTGAGGCAGGTGGATCACTTGAGGTCAGGAGTTCAAGACTAGCCCGGCCAACATGGTGAAACCCCATCTCTAATAAATACAAAAATTAGCCAGGCACAGTGGCACGTGCCTGTAATCCCAGCTACTCAGGATCGTGAGGCAGGAGCATTGCTTGAACCTGGGAGGCGAAGGTTTCAGTGAGCCAAGATCATGCCACTACACTCCAGCCTGGGTGACAGAGCGAGACTCAGACCATGTCCTCTCCCTCTCACTCCCCGCAAAAAGAGAAGAACATGGCAAATGGCAGTTACAGCGAAGAAACACACTCAGGAAGGAGGCTTCAAAATCGTTTTTTCAAAGTCTACTGTGTGCCCTGTTTTAAGTGCTGAGAAAACAGGAAAGGCCAAGAAAGACAAAGTTCCTGCCCTTGTGGAGCTTACAAATAAGCACGGGGAGAAAAGAAAACAAGCACATACATACAGACATGATCATCAGAAGTGAGATGGAACAGCAACAATCAGTGTCGCAATCAGATGAGAGGGCCAGGGGATGGGGACAGTGGTGGTGATTGGGAGGGTTGGGCAGACTGGCTGGCTGAGATGGACTTCTCTGAGGCGGGGGCATTTAATCTAAGATGCCAACAATGAGTCAGCCATGAGAAAATGTGGGAGAGGAGCCTTTCAAATGAAGACGCGTGCAAATGCTGTCACCAACCTCTCTCACTCTGATGACACAAAATGTACTGACAGCACTGAGCTACCATGTGTGCCTATTAGAAATCATATTTACATTTCCAGTCTTTTGGATTTGAGACATCTGGTACTGATATCTGTATCTTCTAGATGTTTCAATAGGGGGTCCATTAGAAAATCTGAGTTATAAAAAAAATTAAAAACATAGGGGATAAAGAGAATGAAAATAACAAGAAAGCAATATTAAAACACACATACAGTTTACATTTAAATGCCCCAAAGGAGATGTGTTGGAGCTGTTTGGGGATCCATCCAGCCAAATATAACCACACACCAAGAGGTTTTGTTAGGGGACATGAAAGTAACTATAACAGAATAGGAAAACCAAATTTACACACTTGTATGTGGATCATTTAGAATATAAACAATTCACTCTGAAAAAAAGTTTTATAAATTCCTCTGGTATTGACATAAACTAAGCATAATAAACTCAAGTGTGAAATTAGATTTATTTGTAATGACAAGGTCAGTTTGAGAACCTGCCTTCAGTGATAGTGATGCTTTGGCTGAAACAATTCAGCTCAAACTCTTGGCATTATGATCATCCTTTTCCTAACATGTGTATTGAAGGTCCCAAAATAGTCCCAGGGCCTGCCTGGCTTTTATGAATATTCTAGCCAGTCCAAAGGAGGGCAACACATACTGTATCCAGACATGAAACAAATGTCATCAAGGAGGCCACTGAACCACCTCTCTAAAGGAAAGACAGCTGGAGTACTCCACTGGGCAGAAGATTGGGAAAGAATTGTGGCTGGCAATTTGGCATACAGAAAGAAGAGAAGAGAACACTGTTTTCAAATGGGAAACAGAAAATGAGACGGGAAAATGAAAGCACATTCCCAGATGGAGCAATTTTATTTCCAAACATGATTCAGAATAGATAGATGCTTTGCTACCTCCACACTGGATTTTCACTTTATAAAATATATTTGCTATTAAAATCATTCATAAAATCTACCTTCCCCTTCGTAGTGGGAAATAAGCAAAGTCAAAGGTTAAAAGGTCATGCATAAAATAGATCCACCAAGATAATTATATAATAGTCTTAAATTCTTCACAAATCAATAAAACATTAATTTATACTTCACTATACAGCACTTCAAGGTTTTTCTTTATATATTAATGTTTATATTTCACAGACAATTTTACAAAAAGATTATCATTTTTTTCATAAAATAGGAAAAGAAAGCCACAGTACTAAAAAAAAAAAATCAATCTGCAGAGTGTAAACATTTTTTATAAGAATACAAACTAAAAGAACAATGAAACTCAAGTACATTATCAGAAACAGTGGTTGACCTCTTTTTTCCTTTACTCCCTTTTCATCTGAGAGAGCCTTTTAGAGATCCGGAATCATTTGCTGTCTGCAATTACTATAGGCTTTGGCTCACAATTCTGGGGAAAATGCCAATTGAAGGAACCCTGCCTATACATTTTATTTTCTTTTTCTTCGAGACAGACAACCTCAAAATAAGGTCCAAATATTGGTTCCTTCAAATGGTGTCAAAAAGAATAGTATTATATGAGGAGGATAGTTATCACAGAATAAGAACTAAAATCCCATTTTTTTTTTTTAGGAAAAAAAGACCTTCGATGATGCAGGTGTCTGTGTATAAGGAACTATGACCTACCAAAAAAACCACCACATAAGGAGAGGCCAATATAATTTGCCAGTCTGACAAGACAGTTGGTATTATAAGTGGAAGAGACCTCAAGGATCACATAATTCAGCTCTTTGATTTTAGAGGGAGGAAAGACGAGGCCCAGAGATGGGAAGTGGCTTGCCTAAGTACATTAGCAAGTTAGCTTCAATGGTTATTTTTATACACACACAGGCACACATACATACTGTTGCATTGACTTCTGTTTTGTACATAAAATGCTACTGGCTCATACAATACATCAATAAGTATGCAACTTTTCATTTGTTATTTCGTTGCTGGAAGTGGGAAATACCCCATCTTCCCAGGAGTGAAATGGTTCTACTTTCTCTCCGTGGTGCCCTGTATCATTACTCAGCTCTGCTGCTGCTCTCCGCAGCCCCTAAAAGTAGCATGGATCGGGGAAGAAGGAAGGACGGCAGGAAGGCAGGCAGAGATCCTCAACTCAAATCACAATTGGAGTGTCTTGTTGTGTCAAAGATGTTCCCACTGGCAGTGAAGACTTTACATGAAGTTAAGCTTGGGCTGTTGAAACTTCCAGACCTGGCTGGAAGGAGGAGATGGGGGATCTAGGCAACACCAGGTGCCAGTGTACGCCCTTCACTCAGAACATGAGCTTGTGTTCCTCTGACCCTAAAAAGCGGAGATGAGCAGTGTGTGCCTTGCCTAAGCTACTGAACTATAAACCTAGATGACTTTACTAGGCGCAGTCATAGTTTCTAATTATTTTAACTTGTATATGCATATAAACACGAAAATATTTATGCCTATGTTATAGTAGTATTAATAGCTGTTATATCATTTCCACAAAATTACACGTGGTTATAACTGTAGGGAAGGTTTTAAAACCCTAAGGCAGTTTTTTAAAAAATACCATTGTTTTTAATATTTATTATGGACATCTTTCTGAAAAACCTTAAGTCTAGCTATGTATATTAACATTAAATAACTTAAAAAAATAAACAATACATTATATTGTAGCAAAATAGCTCCATTTTAAAGCCATATAAGTGAAAAAATTGAGTTTTCAATAATAGACTAGACCTTCTAAAGGTATTTTTAACAATTTTGAACTAATATTAAATGTATTTTCTTTTTTGACTATGCCAAGTATATTCACACTGCTCTTGGTACTTTATGTCAGAAGTATTTTTATGTGAAACACTAGGTTGTTTCATTTGTCTGTTTTTACTTGCTCTATAATGAAAAGTTTACTCTAAATCTAAATAAGTTTGCTCCCAAATATCTCCCCAAGGAGAAGGGGGACAGCATAACCAAAAACACAACAAAAACCTAATGATATATAGATATCCAGTGCATGCGACTTCATATTTTCTAATAGTGGTAGAAAGTAACTTTCAAGTATTCCTGTAATCCAACTGGACTTACAGATAGCGATCTCATAAAATGAACATTCTAGAGGAAGAAAGTCCTTTGAGAAACTTGTTCTTTCCAGAAAACCTTTGCCAAAATTCCCATAGGAAACAAAACCATCCATTCACAAAAGACCAGAGGGTACTTGGTCCCCAGTACTGACCTGAAAGTGCACGCATTTAATACTGCTCTGAACTCAAGGTTAACTCTAGCAGAATTAAGGAGTCCTCGTTTTTTTAACTTATTAAAGGTCACTCTATGATCCAGAGCTGGAAGAACTGCTTCTAAAAAGAACGTCCTAATGAAGGCAGGACCCAAAGTTATTTCCAGTTCCTAGTCCTGCTTTCTGTAGCTGTAGGTATCAGTATAGTTGGCTAAGATAACAAGAACAGAGAGATTGGCCCACTCTGGGAACCAAATTTACATGTTTTGCACTTAAGTTAGTCAAATTCATTTTTAAAAATTAGGTTATCATAAAGACTTCAGTTATGGAATAGAAATTCCATAACTCGCAAGTAGAGGGGAATGGGAGGAAGAATTAGTCAACTAAAAAGTGCATGTCTTTCCAAAGCAGGTGTAGGAGGTCAAGAGGGGCTCGAGGCTTCTGGAAGTTTTGCTCCTTTACAGGTTTTGATCTAGCCACTTGATGTAACTATTCCTAGTCCGGATTCCCACTGAGAAGTTGGTGGGCCAGCTAGTGAAAATCATACATCCGTGAAAGCCATCCTCAAAGTGATCCAGGGTCACCTCCACACCGGCACTCTCCAAACGCTTGGCATACATGATGCCATCGTCTCTGAGGACATCATGCTCACACGTCAGAATGTAGGTCTTTGGGAGGAGCTGCAGCACTGCCTGGTCTGCAATGAGTGGGGCGGAGCGGGCATCCAGCAACTGAGGAAGCTCCTGGACAATCCTGGCATTGCCTGTGGTCTGTACAACAGGCTTGTAGTTCTTTGTGAAGGATGCAGGCAAGAGGGATGTCCAGTTTAGACGGGCCCTGACAGCAGCAGCCTCTTCCACATCAAGTGAAGTGTGATTGTTAACGATCATTGCCTGCACAAAGTCATAGTTGCCTTTGAAGTAGTCCACCCAATACTTCACCATGACATAGCGGGGCAGGATTGGGGTGTTCACATTTTGCTGATAAGATGGTGTGTTAAAATCTAAAGCTTGAAGAACTGGATAAATTAAAGCTTGTAGTTTGAGCTTATTTTTTAGGCTGGCATCTTGAGTAAACTAGAGAAGAGGAAGCAAATACATTATTTCATTTTGCATGCCTTCTTTTATAGGAACCATACCCTGTAGAGTAGCTTCATGTGTTACTCTGAATCTGTCAATGGTATAAGTGTTACATTTCTACCAGGCACTGTATAAATAATAAAGTTTAAAAAATAATTCTCCATCATTACCATCACCACCCTATCAAGCTGCTAGATATTTAACTAAGAAAGGTATGATGTTTACAACTCAGTTTTGAGTGAACCCTGTACTTGTATCTATCTTTAGGCAGTTAAGACACCTAGGTATTATGAATGGATAATGTGTGAACCTTATTTAATTTTTTATTCCCTACAAAACCCCCAAAAAGGTCATGGCTTCCTAGGGGGAAAAAAATTAGTCTTATTCTTCCAGAAGAGAGGGGCAGAAAAAACTTAATAAGCAGATTATGAGACTCCTGAGTGTTTAAGTAGGACCTCAGGGTATGCTTTCTGGTGAGCATCTTCACGCTTGGTGAGACAGAATTTAAATAGTTCTGGCAATGCACCCTCCATTCTACATAATGAGCATATGCCAGAGTGAAGTTGTCATGGGAATGTGAATGAATCCCCTACCTCAACAGATCTCAGTCCCCCAACACCTCCCCACAGTGTTAACATTGCCCCATTTTGTAATTCTAGTGTGCAAAATTATATATTTGTCGTGTAACATCTAAAAGAAAGCTAACTAGTCATGAAGCTTCATAGACAACTAAATGATCTTCAAGGTAACTTTAGCCATACACTTCTGCTTCATACTTGGACTTTAGAAACCCATTCCCAGGTGAGATATGACTGCTCTCCAAAAGCAAGAATGGTCAGTAAATAGCACTTTGAATATGTGCCAAAAATTGTATACACATCACCTCACTAAGTCCTTGCAACAGCCCTGCAATCAGATGACACTGTCCTCGTTTTTCTGAGGCTCAGAGAGGTTAAGGGACTTATCCAGGGCCCCGCAGCACTCAACGGTGGGTCCTGGGTTAGATCCCAGTGCTGTCTGGCTTCAAAGCCAAGAATGTTCTCTCCACTGAGCCAAGACTCTCTTCTGACCATATTTGGATGGAAAACTTGCCAATGCCAAATGGAAAATCAAGTTCTTGAATTATAGCAAAAGAGTTAGAAGCCAAGGTACATCATAATTAGAATGACAGATGGTATTTGAGGACACCAAATGAAATTTGGAGGTGAGAAGACAAAGATGTCTTAAGTTACTTCATCCATAACAGGAAGAAAATGTGCTTTTTCCCACTTGCCAAAAAAATTGGGGTGCTATTAGAAGCTAGATATAGTTTTCAAAGAATTAAACCAGGTAAAGCTCATAGTAACTTGTAAGATAATATTTAAATGGCTGAATCGTTTAATTTCTTTCTTTTACATTAAAAAAAAGTTGGGGAAACAAATTTTAAGGTTTTAATTTGGCTCAAAGTTGTAAGGAACAATCTTAGGAACTGGAATTTAAGCAAAAATACTCCGATTTGCAAGTCAAACATGAAAAAGGAGCAGGGGATACTGGAGTTCCATACATAGCCCTGAGAAGCAAGGGATGTCAGCCCTTCTCTAACACTGACTGTAATCAGGGACTTTACAAAGACTCATAGGTGATACTTCCTCCAATGACTCATCTTCCTACTTCAACGAGATCTCTGAGAGCTCTACAAGTGTAATCACATGAACAATTTGGCCATCTAGTGACCGGCCCACCCAGCTATGCATTTGCCACACATAATGGAGGGTGTGTTGGTCTGCTAGACCTTGTCATGCACCGCTTAACCCACCAGCACCTTAGGACAGTGGTGTTACCTGTTGTCCAAGGGCAGCAGCCAGATTTCCACCAGCACTGTCACCAGAAATGCAAATTCTGCCTGGATCAACCATATACTTCTGTAAGACTTCTGGCTTCAGGAAATACTTTGTGGCCCGTACAACATCATGAATTTGCTCAGGAAAATAAACCTTTGGAACTAGCCTGTATCTGTAAAAACAAAAGTTGTATTCATTTAAGGCCTTCTCCAATTTTGGGGGACATTTAAAGTTTAGATGGAAACTGGTTCTTTTAAATCTGGAAATAGATAAGAAATTAATTCAATGGAATTATTGTATGAAAAAGAAAAAATAATAAAATATAAAAATAAACCATTTTCTTGCAAATCAAATACTTAGTTTAAAATGTGATGATTTTGTATTAGTAATAGTACTATTTTTCTTTAAACTATCAGCCACCAAACCAAACCTACTTACCACCAAGAACAACCAAAATAAAACTAACAAGTAAAAGGCGAATGTTCATTACAAAGACATGGATAGCACCGTAATAGATTTTAGAATTTTATTTCTGGAAGTCAGCATTCCATTCATAATGCCTCTGGGTTACGAGGTGACTTGGCAGGATTAACCACTTCATTGATCTCACATTTAATGAGTCCATCATTTACTTCATATAATAAAACTGTACTTCACTGGAGAGGTCCATATTAGCCTGACATTAAACCCAAGAAATGCATTCAATACCTGGAAGACTGTAACTAAAAGGCCGGTTGTTAACTCACAAAAGGGAAGCTAAGTTTTCCAGACGGCCTAGAGCAGGCCCTCGGGGATACTTCTGGGGCTTCTCCAACTGGCCCCACTTCGCAAGATCAGAGTCCTTTGGAATCCTACTCTGTACACCTAGTAGAATTCATATCCCCTTAAGATTCCCAGAAAGCTCTGGTTTTGTCAAATGCCTCACCCATAGTGTTATCTTACACATCTACATTGGCAATCTTGGTTTAGAGTTCCCTCTCACTCTCTACTCCCCTCTTTTGCTTATTAATTCTCACTCATCCTTTAAGCCTTAACTGGAGGGTTTGGCCTCCTCTGGGCAGCCTTCCTTGGTCATATCTCCACTTGCTTTTGGGCTTGAACTGGCTACCATTCCTTGATATTTCTATGTGCCAGGGTACGTCACTCACTGTTCTTATTGGCTCATATGAAAATTATCATATGTTTTTCCTAAAGATTGTGTTCTCTGATATCAGGAACTGTGTTTTATTCATAACTGTGCTTCCAGTATCTGCCAATGTGAGGGGCACATAATCATCCATCCAATAAATCTTTTTTGAGTATTAACATACCTTCATTTTGCAAACGAAGAAACTAAGGCATACAAAAGTTACTTGATTTGCAAAAACTCAAAAACAGACCAAAATTAGGTAGGATAAAAACTAATTACCTAATTAAAAATTAATAACAGCCAATGAAGACTCAAGACTTTTGATTTCCATCTTATAATTAGCATACTTATTTTCACAAACTAATTTTTTCTAAGCTACTCTAAATAAAGACATTTATTTTCCACAGTCTAAAATCCAGCTAGTTGGGCTGAGAGCGGTGGCTCACACCTGTAATCCCAGCACTTTGGGAGGCTGAGGCAGGTGGATCACTTGAGATCAGGAATTCAAGACCAGCCTGGCCAACATGGTGAAACCCCATCTCTACTAAAAATACAAAAAAAGGGCCAGGTGCGGTGGCTTAGGTCTGTAATCCCAGCACTTTGGGAGGCAGAGGCAGTCAGATCACCTGAGGTCAGGAGTTCGAGACCAGCCTGACCAACATGGTGAAAACCCGTTTCTACTAAAAATACAAAAATTAGCCAGGCACGGTCGTGGGCGCCTGTAATCCCAACTACTCAGGAGGCTGAGGCAGGAAAATCACTTGAACCCAGGAGGCGGAGGTTGCAGTGAGCCGAGATGGTGCCACTGCACTCCAGCCTGGGTGACAGAGCAAGACTCCATCTCAAAAAAAAAATAGCCGGGCATGGTGGTATGCACCTGTAATCCCAGCTAGTTGGGAGGCTGAGGCCTGAGAATCACTTGAACCCAGGAAGTGGAAGTTGCAGTGAGCTGAGATCGAAAGAACAAGACCTGGGCGAAAGAGCAAGACCCTGTCTCAAAATAAAATCCTGCTAGGTAATTAAACATCTTGACATTCATTGTAGATAAAATCAAATGGACAAATGTTTGTGAAATACGTTGACAAGTAGTGAATGTGGATCTGGTCATTCCGGAATTACCACATTTTGAAACTAAATGCAATAAAAAAACTCCCTTAGTGGAGGCGGAGCTTGCAGTGAGCTGAGATCGCGCCACTGCACTCCAGCCTGGGCGACAGAACGAGACTCTGTCCAAAAAAAAAAAAAAAAAAAAAAAAAAAAAAATCCCTTAGCGTTTGCCATATAGCAGATAAAATAAATTTTCTAATTTCTTATTTTTCCATCTGGGGTGGTCAATTAATCATGCAAAATGCTTTTTTTTTCCAGTTGATTTTTCACTATGTATGAAAGCTGCTGCTATATAATCTATATAATTCCATTTGAGCAAAAAAGTAGAATTACGCAGTTTTGTCCACTAGATGACATCATTTCATATGAGTCTATTTACCCCTAGTTCTTGGGGTGGGGGGTGGGTCTCAATTTTTAATCTTCAGTATTACCAAGCTGAACTTTTAATTTTAATAAAAACAAATGTACTTCATGACTCAAGTTGTGAAAACAAAGGTTATTTCATTTCAGCAATATCCCACATATCACAATAAACTGTTTTCCTGGTTGCCCAGATGGTCAGAACATATCCACTAGCATCCATATGTCAAATAAGTTGAGTTTTTAGATGTTATTTCAGAAAAGGTCTGAGAGACTTTGATCAAAGGCAATTGGTAACCTAAAAAAAACATGCTACTGCTCAATCTTCTCAATTAATAATTGGCTTATATAATAGGATAAACATGCTTAAAAACAAACAGGTTATGATGCAAGAGTGTTCCTGGTGCCATAAAGATCCATGGCCTAACCCCTCCCCTCATCTGTTTTCATGCTGGAAACATTCTTCAGTTTTACTCAATAAAAATGGACACTTTTGGCCAGGCACGGTGGCTCACCAGCACCAGGCATGGTGTAATTCCAGCACCTGGGGAGGCCAAGGTGCGCGGATCACGAGGTCAGGAGATCGAGACCATCCTGGCCAACATGGTGAAACCCCATCTCTCCTAAAAATACAAAAATTGCTGGGTGTGGTGGCATGTGCTTGTAATCCCAGCTACTCGGGAGGCTGAGGCAGGAGAATCGCTTGAACCAGGGAGTTGGAGGTTGCAGTGAGCCGAGATCACGCCACTGCACTCCAGACTGGTGACAGAGTGAGGCTCCGTCTCAAAAAAAAAAAAAAAAAATGGAGACTTTGTAGACTGAAGAATATCCTGAAAGTAGATATTTATTAGGTTACCTGGCATAAGATGAACTTTCAAAGTAGCTTGAAATTCACCTAAGAAGTATATCAAAATTTTGTAATATCTAGACACAGAAAGCCAAGAATCAGGAGGAAATTCATGGGTGGTACAGCCAAATAAAGCATACATAAATATATCTGCTCTCTGCTGCTGGTGCTCAAAGCTATGTCCCTGCAAAGTAGTGAAAGAGGGTTCTGACATTCAATATTTAAAAACTGCAGATCTTAAAGCACCTGATACGTAAATATCAAAGATGTTATATCATATTAATATTATGGATGCATATATATTCCTCAATTTGCCCAACTCACTTCAGGGAGAGGATGACTCTGCAATGACAAGTGGATTACCTAGCTTTATCACTGCATGTAACTCCCATCAGAAGAACAAAATTTGGTGTAAATTCAGGCATGAGGTTTAATCAAATTAATGTGTACAGTCTATCAAAATGACCATATTCCTGCTGGGTGAGGTACCTTGCCAAATGTTCTACAGACGTATGTCACTCAAATCTCAAGCAAACTTCTGGGTTTAAGGATGAGAATGTGAGGTTGAAGGAAAATGTGTAACTTGTCTGTAACAGCTAGAAGTGGCAGAACTGGGATCTGAACTCACAACTGACTTCAAACCTATGCCCCCAAGCCCCGAATGACACCAATGTGCTAAGAGGGTTGAAATGCGCAATTCTTCCTCAAAATAACCTAACCTGGAAGCCATATGCACAACCTTCTGCTGTGGAAGGGACGCCAAGTTCTCTTCATATAGTACTACTTAGGTGAAAGATACATGCGGCATTCTGGAATAAAATTATACTCCTATCAGATTCAGCAGGAGAGAGGATAAGCCTCACTCCTTTTCCAGCTTTTTTACTTTTCACCATCACCCAAGAAAATCTCAATAGATTCATTTTGGGAACATAAAAGAGTTAATATTCCCCACTGTCTTAGGGGTATTTTTAGTAGGGGATATCCAAAACAAATCAATAATTAAATCCAGATTGTGCTCTCTGAGTGAGACAACTCCAGAGGGAGAATCTATTTATTCCACTAACAGAAGTTTCCTTTCTACTGTTGCATCACAAGGTCAAAAAAAAAGCAAAGCTTCCTTTCTTCCCTGCCCCCTTTATTTATTTATTTTATTTATTTATTTATTTTGAGACGGAGTCTCGCTCTGTCGCCCAGGCTGGAGTGCAGTGGCACAATCTCGGCTCACTGCAAGCTCTGCCTCCCAGGTTCACGCCATTCTCCTGCCTCAGCCTCCAGAGTAGCTGGAACTACAGGCGCCCGCCACCGCACCTGGCTAATTTTTTGTATTTTTAGTAGAGATGGGGTTTCACCGTGTTAGCCAGGATGGTCTCGATCTCCTGACCTCGTGATCCGCTCGCCTCAGCCTCCCAAAGTGCTGGGATTATAGGCATGAGCCACTGCGCCCGGCCCCCTGTCCCCTTTAAGAGACAGTCTTGCTCTGTCACCCAGGCTTGAGTGCAGTGACACCATCATAACTCACTGCAGCCTCAAATTCCTGGCCACAAGCAATCCTCTCACCTCTGCCTCCCTAAGTGCTGGAATTACGGGTGTGAGCCACTGCATCCCACCCAGAAGCTTCCTTTTCATTAAAAGAACATATAATAAAACTGTGCTCGAGGGGAAGGAATGTGGATGGATGACTGTTTCTCCAAAACTGCACCATTGCACTCCACCCTAGGCAACAGAGTGAGACTCTGTCTCAAAAATAAATAAATAAAAAATACATAAACTAGAGGTAAAAAAATACTCTATTATAGTTAAACTGCACTGAAATTTATAAATATAAGGCCTTTTATATTCTAGATTGTATAAATGAGGATACATCTGCAAATCTTAGATAAACACTGTAATGTATTTAACAAATACTTATTGTGCAATTAATATGTAAAAATAGTATAGCGTTGTAGAAGCTACTGAGTAGGAGACATAGCTTTTACGTAGGTTTTGTACTCAAGGACTTCACCTATCAGTCATTTGGTCTGTCCCCAGACCCTTGAGCCAGCATGAGTGACATGAATCATGGAGTCCCAACTCCTGGTGCTCATAAGAGGTGATTCCATTACCAAGGCTGCTGGAACCCCTGCCCACCAGCTTCCTCAGATAAAAACCTTCCCCAGTGCCATAATCCACATGAAAGAATAGCAAAGCCATGACGCCACTACCCACTCTAGAGGGCCTCAAGGCAAGGAGCTGCTGGCTCCAGACAGCCTGTCTTCTAGAAGGCGGAGCTCCAGAAGAACCAAGCGTCCACCATCCTCCTAAAGACTCTTGGAATCATCCACACTTACTTCTGTTTTCCTCAGTCGTCCCTCCGTCTGTCTTCTCTCACATTTCATTCCCTCACTGCTCTCTGCCTCGTCCCTCCCCTCCCAAGCCCTCTTACTACACCACTTTGGTCTTCCATGACAAATCCACTTTTTCTAATGAGGTTCTGCTCATTCTTAGGGGTTTCATCCAAACATCACTTTCTTTAAGACACCTTTTCTGATCCTTTAAACGAGGTAAGATCTTGCCTGTTAGATGTCTCTGTTACTACTTGCCCTTCTACTTCCCATCACTTATCACACTTTTAACATTACTTATTCAAGGTCTTTCTCTTCTAGATCATAAACTCTATGAGGGCAGGAATTAAGTCATTCTTACATTGTTATGTCACCAGCATTTAACACGGTAACTAGCACAAAACAGGAATCCAGTAAATATTTATGGAATAAAAGAAAGAAGAAAGAAGCGAGCCACTGAGATCCCGCTCTGAACTGCTTTTTTTTTCTATTTTTTTGTTTTGTTTTGTTTTGAGATAGGGTCTCTCTCTGTCACCCAGGCTGGAGTGCAGTGGCGCAATCTCAGCTCACTGCAGCCTTGATCTCCTATGCTCAAGCAGTCTTTCCAACCCAGCCTCTTGAGTAGCTGGAACTACAGGCATGCACCACCATGCCTGGCTAATTGTTTTTTAACTTTTTGTAAGACAGGGTTTTGCCATATTGTCCAGGCTGGTTTTGAACTCCTGGACTCAAGTGATCCACCTGCCTCAGCCTCCCAACGTGTTGGGATTACAGGTGTGAGCCACTACACCAGGCCTGAACATCGTTTCCAAGAGAAACATCATGATCATATAATGTTGGCTGTACCTCAACTACAGCATAGGTTATAAAGTGCTCTTGGGTTAGCCTGAATCTTAACAAGGATTACTATCTTGCTATTTCTACAAAAAAAAAAAAAAAAAAAAAGAAAAAGAAAAAAAAGTACTGTGAGTTCCAAACATGCTGATAAATAAACGTGTAAGTTGTCCTTTTCATTCTATAGGCTAGATAGAGCAATAATCCTCCAGACTCAGCTAGTGCTTTTGAATATCTGAACTCCTCTTATATCAATTGTCTAAAATGATTCTCATGACAATTCTCTGCAGTCATTATCCCAACTCAGCATGCATTTACCTAGCATGCACACTCCAAGCCTTGTACTGGGTTCTGGAGATGCAAAGGAAGGAAGACGTGATTTCTGTTTCCAGGAGTTCACATTCTTTTGTTTTTGCTTTGTTTGTTTGTTTGTTTGTTTTTTGAGACAGAGTTTCGCTTTTGTTGCCCAGGCTGGAGTGCAATGGCTCAATCTCGGCTCACTGCAACCTCCGCCTCCCGGGTTCAAGTGATTCTCCTACCTCAGCCTCCCCAGTAGCTGGGATTACAGGCATGCACCACCATGCCAGGCTAATTTTGTATTTTTAGTAGAGATGGGGTTTCTCCATGTTGTTGATCAGGCTGGTCTCGAACTCCCGACCTCAGGTGATCCACCTGCCTCAGCCTCCCAAAGTGCTGGGATACAGTCATGAGCCACCGCGCCTGGCCTTTGCTTTGTTTTTTAAAAAATAGGGTCTCCCTGTGTTGCCTAGGCTGGACTCGAACTCCTGGGCTCAAGTAATCCTTGTACCTCAGCCTCTCAAGTAAGGCACACCACCATACCTCACTGTTTTCCCAGTAGCTCACATTCTAAACATACAGGAAGGGTTCTCAACCCCATTTTGCACATGAGTTTAAATGACCTGCTTGAGGTCACACAGTCATGAGTGATGGAACTTGACTGCCATATGCTCATGCCTCCCATCTGGACACCATGTTGTATAGATTAGGAACAATGCAAAGTTTAAATCAAAGCAGTCCCTTCTAAATTTTAGCCCTTTTCAAAAAAATCCTCTTAAATATATCTTATTCTTCTGTGTCTTATGATAAGCCTTGCAATACCCATTTTACTTGAGACAGATGCTGATAAGGGGAGAAGGGAATGGAGGAACGGTTTAGGGCATGTGGCCAAATAGTGATATTGAAGCCCGGAGGGTAGGCCCTGTGGTAAATGGAAAATCTGCACGGTGCCAACTGAAGCAAGCCCAGCTTCCCTCCTTTTCTCAGGCCTGCAAGGAGCTGGGGCTACACAAGAAACCAACTGAATGGCCCCTGAAGCTTGTTCCTCAACACCGAGCTGTAGGGCCTTGTCTCCTTAAACATCCCCTGTGCTTTCCTCTGGCCAGCTGCTCAGGCCAACTGCCCAAATCATTTCCTTGAAGGTTCCTGTATTACCAAACTGCACTGACAACCCTTGAGTAATCTGGGAGGCCTTGCTGAGAGTCCAGAAAGGTCCAGGTGCGGTGGCTGCTTCCTCAGCAGATTTGGCTCCAGCTGTCTGGACTCTAGGGCTTTTGGGTGACTGCAGGGCTTTTGGGTGACTGCAGGGCTTTTGGGTGACTCTAGGGCTTTTGAGTGACTCTAGGGCTTTGGGGTGACTCTAGGGCTTTGGGGTGACTCTAGGGCTTTTGAGTGACTCTAGGGCTTTTGAGTGACTCTAGGGCTTTGGGGTGACTCTAGGGCTTTTGGGTGACTCTAGGGCTTCTGTCAACAGGGTCAGAACTGCCTCAGTGACTCTGAGCAGCCCCTTTCAAGAGACTGCAGAAGAAAAGATCCACTCAAATCTGGAGTAGGAGCAAGGAGGTGGCGCACCATGAACAGGAGGATAGCTGACAGAGAGGCAGAGGGAAGAAGAGAACTGAATGAGCCTGGGGCAAGAAAAAGTGGTTGGCGTCATGGCCCTGCCACTCAGCATTATAAGCTCCCTTCAATAGTGGCTTGAAACTGGATCAAAAAGGTCCAGAGACCTCAGGAACTATCTGACTTATTCCCCTACCCCATCTATGCGATGAGCTAGCTATCTGGCCTTATGCACATCACTTAGCTTCTTGGGTCTCAATTTCCTCACTTATGAAAAAGATATCAAAATATCTTGGATGTTTTATATGAGAATTAAGGTGCTTCATTCATTCATTCCATAAATATTTACTGAATGCTCACCATATGCCAGGGATGTTTCCAGGCACTAATGATTCAGCAATAAACAAAACAAACAACAATCCTGAAATGTTTGCCTTTATAAAATTCATATTGTCTATTTCCACTTATTACAATAAACATAATAAGTCAAATATGTGGTTTGTCAGATATTGATGATAGCTTTGGAGAGAAATGAAACAGAGGAACGTGGGTTGCAATTTCACAAAGGCTTGTCAAAAAAAGGCTTGGCTGAGAGGA